>NC_000011.10:103839091-104142121 GCF_000001405.40 Homo sapiens
TCTTTAAATATTTCCAAAAGTACCACAGACTACCTTCTCTCACAAGAAGGAAAATAATGTAGCTATTAGTAATAAAAGGAAAATTAAGACAATTTCATACATTTGACAGTTTAAAAGCAAACTTCTAAATACCTCCTAGGTCAAAGAATACTTTATAATAGAAAGTAAAAAAATACTTAGAACTAAATGATAATGAGAATATAAGATAAGTTACGTGGGCTGCAGTTAGAGTACCAGAAAACTTCAGTGCCCTACAACTACTAAAGAAGTCAAATCAATATTTTAAAAGCCTCCTCATAAATAGAACACCAAATACAAATAGTTCTATAAGAAAATATAACAAATGTTATCATCAAATTTTAATTGTATATAAACTTTTTCATAGGTATAACAAAGAGGAAACTTTCCTTAACTCTTTTAAAGCAGTCATTTTTAGCCTTGATAGCTAATGCAGATATGAGTATAAAAAAGGGGGAACTTTCCAAACAATTAGATGCAAAAATCTTAAACTATTTAGAAACCTGATTACAACTTTGTATTTTAAAAAAGACATTATGACCAAGGCACATCAATTCCAGGAATAGAATATATCCTTATGATCTTTATATCTTCCAGCTTCCATCATTTGTGTAGAAAATTCAGTTATTAGTCTTTTATTGCTATTATGAAAGCAATGTTGTTTTTTTTTGGGTGCTTTAAGTAATTGGTCCTTGTCCTTGGCTTTCAGGAGTTCACTATGAGCCAAAATGGGATTTATTTTGCATGTATCTTTTCTAGTTTCTTCAGAATTTCTTGATTTTGTGGGTTAGTTTTAGAAAGTTTTTGGTTATTATCTCTTCAAATATTCCTTCTTCCCCTATTCCTTGTCTCCATTCTTTCTGATACTTCAATTACATGCATGTTACACATTTTTAAAACTATGTCATATATATTTTATGCTCTTTTTTGCATTTATCTTTTCTTTTTTTGTGTGCTTCAGTTAGCATATTTACTCCTGGGAGGGGAATACCTGAAGGCTTGTGCCTTATTTCTCCTGAACTTCACCCCATGTGCCTTTTCTCTTTGTTTATTGTTATCTGTGTCTTTTTGTTATAATAAACTGTGACCATCAATATAACCACTTCTAAGTCCTGAGAGTCCTTCTAGTGGGTCATCAAGCTTGAGGAGGTTCTCAGAGACTCCCAACATGACAACACTTACAAAAGCAACAAAACTAAAAAGTATCCTAGAATATATCTAAAAAAAGATGTGTGATACCTCTAGATAAAAAATCATGAACTTTTCATAAAAACATTAAACAATAATAAAGATATTTCTTTATCTTTATTTTGCAGATAAAATAACACAGATATTTCACATTCATGGATAAGAAAACTCAGTCCTAACAATGTCAAACTGAAAAGTTTTTTATGGAAATTTTTATCAAAATCCTAGCAGAATTTTAAATAAACTTCATGATTCTGAGTTTCATATGGAAAAATAAAGGGCTGAGAATAGAATATCCGAAAGGATTAATATGTTGGGGGAATTTGGCACACCAAATATCAAGAGTTATTATAATCCAATAGCAATTAAGGTGGGAAGATACTGATGCGAGGAAGGATAAATTGTTTAATGGAGCAAGAATTGAGGACTCACATGTATATGGAAGATAATTCTAATTTGATTAATAATTTAAATGTAAAAGTCAAAACTTCAAAACTTTTAAAAGAAAATATTAGAATGTTTGTAGAGAAGGGTTTCTAAATAAACATCTAAAACATAAGAAAATGTTGATAAGTCTACTTCATGAAAATGAAAAACTTCTGTTCATCACAGTATAGCAAGAGAGTAACAATGTGAACCATAATGCCACACCTATGATTAATAAAGAACCGGTTTCCAGAATGCATAAACAACCACTAGAACTATGTAAAATCGGTTAGAAGATAGCCATCCCAATAGATGAAATGGGCAACAAAAGAATAGACATTTCACAATGAACATATGAATTTATGACCAATCTCATTATTAACCAGAGAAATGCATAAGACAGTGAGATACCATTTCATAACAATGAAAAAATTAAATTACCTAAAATAAGATGTTCTAGAGAAGATGTAGATCAATAGGAACACATTTTTGGTGGAAGAGTAAATTGGAAAGCCACTCTGGAGAACAGTTTCATGATAATGTGTCAAGTTGAACATTTGAATACTCTGAGACTCAACAATTCCACGATTAGGTATATAGCCTATAGAATCCTTGTACCCATGTACCAGGAGTCATATATGAGTCTTCCTTGCCAGACTGTGCATAATAATGAAAATTTGGATCAATGTAAATATTCATTGATTGGAAAATAGATATATAACTAGAGTTATAACTTGCAGTATCACATGATGGAATATCACAGAGCTATATCCACCAACATGGATGATTCTTAGAAAGCTAATTTTGCGTGGAAAAAGGTTACATCCATGGTGACTACAAACAAATATAATAAAGCTCAAAACAAGCGAAATGAAACCATCTATTGTTTAGGCATAAATACACAAATGGATAAGCATTTCTAAAGGAAAGAATTGATAAACACAAAATATGCAATGATTGTTACCCCAGGTAAAGGGAGAAAAACGCATCTGGACACAAATACACAAGATCACCATTAAGGTTCTTTTCCTTTTGCTGGTTGGAAAATACGTAAGTGTTTGTTTTAACGTTATGTTCTAAATTGTACATGTGTTTTTATATATACTCTTTTTTTAGTAGGATATATTTAAAATAAATGAAGCAAAGTATTTTCATAACAACAATTAAAACGATTAAATGTAGCTAGTTTTTACAATAATGAACAAATCTCCAGAACAAATAACTACATTATGAATTAGGGAAATGTCTATGTTTCTATTGTCTCATTTATTTTGTACCATTATGATATTCTGACTTATTTTTTTAAGTTTTATTTTTAATTTCTGTTTCTCCAATTCACCAATCCTTTCATGTTCTGACACTTATAATTATGGCCTAAGATGTATTTCGTTTACAAACTATTATTCTTCCAGATAGAAATATATGTGCAAATTGCCTTCCAAATTACTATTCAGACATTTTTCATAATCTGTTCACTAACTTTGAAGCTTGCATTATTTAAATGCCTTAAGCCAAAGACTTTTTTTTGGCAAAGTCTTTTATAACAAAAGATAGCTTTATCAAGCAAAACAATTACAAGGATCCAAGGCTCAAAGACATAACCAGATAAGTCTGTTGATGTCATTGCCTGGCGCCCCCCGCAAGTGGCAACGGACTTCACAAATGAGATAGTGGGTGGTTCCTAAGCACTATTTCCAAACTCCCTCCCACATGACAGGATTTAGTTATTTGCCGAGGAAGATATGCAGTAAAATATTAAAGTCACATGGGGCCAGGTGCGGTGGCTCATTCCTGTAATCCCAGCTCTTTGGGAGGCCAAGGTAGGCAGATCACTGAAGGTTAGAAATTTGAGACGAGCCTGGCTAACATGGTGAAAACCCATTTCTACTAAAAATACAAAATTAACCACGTGTGGTGGCAGGCTACTCGGGAAGCTGAGGCAGGAGAATCACTTGAACCCAGGAGGTGGAGGTTGCAGTGAGCAGAGATCACGCCACTGCACTCCAGCCTGGGTGACAGAGCAAAACTCCATCTCAAAAAAAAAAAAAAAAGAAAAAAAAGTCACATGGATACATTCATTTTTTTTAGAACACATACACATATCTAAGCTGACTCAGTGACTTCCCTCTTTGCTACATAAGACAGGAAAAAATTTTAGGTAATACTCACAATAAGATCTCTTTGTGATTTGATGTTTCGCAAAAGATTCAGGGAAGGAAGCTATTATAAGAAGTTTTGTCTGAAGAGTGGTCACTGGGAGGCTCTGCAATTCACCAAGAACACCTGCTTCAGTGACCCTGATTCAATTTACTCACTGGCTCTCTAACTAGAAACAGATGCTGAGATTGCAGGAGTCACGCAGCAGATGCACTCACTACTACTCTTAAGCTTTCTGAAAGAACAAGAGTTCAGACACTTGTCCTTCTTTGAATTACTGTCTTGTTTGGCATAATAATTATTTAGCAAAATCATCAGGGTAGTATAATATCCTAATATTTGGCTATTCGGCAAGATACATGGCAGTGTGCCAGGGATATAAAAACCCACAGAATAAACATAGCACATTATCCAGGAGTTTTAACTTCATGCCAAAATTTGGAGGTAAATATTTTCATAATTTAATCTGAAAGACATTTAAATTATTTTTGCAGTAAAACAAATACATTGTGGAAGGGTAGTCACAATTTGCATGCTTTTTAAAAGTGAACATTTCAGGTTTTAAACAAATTTCACATTTTTATCCAATCCCCTTGGTGATGTGTTTCTAGAACCCTTAAGACATCTTTTATGGTTACTTCTTGGGCTTTGATGGAAGAAGTTCAAGACTTGCTTCCCTAAATTATTCCAGGATTAGAAGAGACTAGAATTTTCTCAGGGATGTATCTGTCTCAGAACATAAAGGGAAGGGCCAGAGCACCCCAGAGGGTTGACCCTAATGGAGATCAACTTGCTACTTACTGTAAAATAAGTGTTAGGTTCTTTCTTTTTCTTCACTAGTAATCATTTCACTTCCAAAAGGCTGTGCACCTTTGCTGATGAAAAATTAGCAGGAGTTCAGAGAGAAGCCTTTTACTTGAGTGGGCATGGAGAAAAGGAAGTCTTTTTTATTCATTGAGGTCATGACATTAACAGCTCTTCTTAGCAACTGCATCATTCCACAGAGAAGTGGGCCTTTGAGAAGCGGGCAAGGCAATCAGTGAAATATTCTGTGTGGAGAGAGGGGTGGTTGGTTTCAATAGAGTAGAGATAAGGAAAGAGTTTATTTGGGAGAACCAAAGGTTATCACATGGCAGAGAATAGGGAGATATGGTCAGTAATTGGTCAGTGTCAGGAACAGGTGACAAAGACGAATTGCAACCAACTATAGACCAATGGATAGAGAAGACTGGCATACTGAAAGAGGAGAACTAGCAAATTACTCAGGGCAAATAAAAATGGTTTGGGGCCAATGTTGAAGTAGTGTTGCCTGTGTCTCAGTTTCCTCATCTATAAAAATGAATAATACCACCTTTCAGGACCAGGGCCATGTGGGTTTAAAGAGTTAATTCAAGTTATCTGAGACAGTGTCTGGTATCAAGGAGACACTCCATTAATGGCAGTGACTCTTATCATTATTGCTATTTACTTGTATCAAACCAATGTAGACCTCTATGTGGCAAAATAAACCCAAGTATTTACTGATTCATGCAGTCAAAAGTGTGGAAATTCAACATTCAATAAGACACTACCTGTGAGCCACTAGCGTGCTCTGTATAAAATCCTCTGCGGTAGGGACCAGTTTACCAAGTCTTGCACGGCATAGTCTGCAGCCACAAACACAAAAACCAGAAGAAGGTTTCTTCTCCTTTCTTCTTCTTACCTGCTCAGTCTGTAAGAGACTTCCAGCAATCACCCCTACTCACCCCTAGGGCATTATATATATTATTCCTCATAATTTCCAAATACCTAACAATGATTTTATCTACAACAAAGTCTCCTATTTACTAAGTTACCTACCCATTAACTATACAGCCTTGTAATCTCCTTGCCGAGCTGAAGGGCTGCTGCATTTCTAATGGCTCACACCTGCTTTGCATTTGTTTCCAGTTTCAGATCATGTCACTCTTTCGATATTTTCCTCCAGTCACAAGGATGGCTTTCTAAGCCCAGATTTGTGAGCAAAATGTTCTTAGGCCAGTACTTCTTGAACTATAATGTGCATAATAATTACATGGAGATCTAGTTAAAATGCAAATTGTGATGCAATAGATCTAGAGTAGGGCCTGCAAGTCTGCAGTTCTAACAAGCTCTGTGGGGATGTTGATACTGCTGGTCCTCAGATGACAGTTTGAAGGGCGAGGCCCTATACTATAAGGAAGCAGGGTGCACTGTGACTGCTTACTCACTTTTTGCATTTTACAACATCAGGGAGCAGCTCAGCAAAGCGCCTCCATTGGTCCCCCAAAAGAGTCCTAGCTAGTTGTAATGTTTAATGAGTATTTAAAGACCCCAAAGTCCCCGCAAACTCATGCTGCAGTGGTTTCTGGATGCACACTGGGTCGGTTAAATCAGTGTGTATGAGGATTTTGCTAATTGCTGAGGTCAGCTCTCATACCTGTTTACAGGGAAAATGGCATGTATATTTTATAAAAGCACATTGAATTATGTATCTGCAATTACAAAAGATTAAAGAGAAAGTCAACTCCAAAGAAAATTGTTTGTTAGCTGCTAAGAATTTAGTTGACTCCTATCCTCATTCTTCATCTCTTTTATCTTTCTGGAAAACTTGCCCAGCCAACCACAAAATGACCCTGTGATAATCAGCTCTCAACAGGGCAGGGAGACAAGCATTCCCCTCTGTACAAAATACCTTTGTTGCAAAGGTATTTATTTGAAATCTGTCTTTGCTGTTTTCACGTCAACCCTGAAGTTATCTTCCAGAAGAGTGTATGTACATTTTAATCAGCATTATCTCAAGAGGAAATGCTGTACTCTAATTAATGGTTCAAGCAATTGTGCTAAGCATAACAATTGCTTGACAGTCATAGCTTGTGTTAACTGTATAATTGCTGTTTGTGCCTTGCTTATTCAAAAGTCATATTATTATTATCTCCAGATAGTCAGCATTTACTTCCAGCATTCAGAGCATAAGCAAAGTGGTGCCATACAAGTCAGCACTATTTTTTAATATGCTGCATTGCAGCATCTCAACTACCAGTGTAGGGAGGGCGTGGTCATGCCTGCTTGGTGTTTGCTCTGTGTAACAGAGATTAAGATGATGACAGGTTTCATTTTGTGATGCTTTAGAGAATTGTAACATATTAAAGGAAAAACATGGAGTGGCCAATATATTCTGTAAGACACAAGATTTGCCCTATCTCCATTCTTATTCTCTTTATATTTCAGCCTCACCTGAGATAAACTACCTATAGCGTCTACTGAATATACATGCAGAAAGAATATTGAAACATAAAACATCAGAAGGAAATATCACTTTCCAGTGTTGTACTCAGCCCTATTGGAACTTGAGGCAAAAGGTTATTCAGTAACACTGACACTGTCTTTAAAATTGTGACTCCTTCCTCCCTTCCTTCCTTCCGCCCTCCCTCCCTTCCTCCCTTCCTTCCTCCCTCCCTCCTTCCCTCCTTCCCTCCCTCTCTCTCTTTCTTTCCTTCTTTCTTTTTTCTTTCTCTTTCTTTCTTTTTCTTTCTCTTTCTTTCTTCTTTCTTCCTTTTTCTTTCTCTTTCTTTCTTCTTTCTTTCTCTTTCCCTTTCTTTCTTTCCTTCCTTCCTTCCTTCTTTCTTTCTTTCTTTCTTGACACACTTTCACTCTGTTGCCCAGGCTGGAGTGCAGTGACCTGATTTCAGCTCACTGCAAGCTCCGCCTCTCAGGTTCAAGCCATTCTACTGCCTCAGCCTCCCGAGTAGCTGGGATTACAGGTGCATGCCACCACACCCAGCTAATTTTTGTATATTTATTAAATATGGGGGTTTTGCCGTGTTGGCCAGGCTGGTCTTGAACTCCTGACCTAAAGTGATCCGCCCACCTCAGCCTCCCAAAGTGCTGGGATTACAGGCAGGAGCAAGCACGCCTAGCCTGTGATATTCTTCTATGGATTTTGGTTTTTTAAAAATCACATTAAAATATTGTCTTGATCATTGAGTTTTTCCCCCTTAAATTTTGTGCTCAAGATGAGTGCCTCACCTGATTCTTGGCCTTGTCATGAGAGAGGTGATAATCTATTTAACAGCCAAGAAAAGAAGACTTCTGAAGAAAAGGCTGAGTTAATGTCACTATGTATTGGGAAAAAAGAGAAAAACCGACAGGTTGGGTTTCCATGAGTTGGAAATCAAAGCTAATAGGATGTGGATGTTTGTGCTGATTCTTGCAGCTGCAGTGAGCAGAGGAAATGTTCTGAGCACTTTCTCAAAAGGTTCTTCAGTATTTTAACTTAAAATCATCTTACAAAAGAAAAGCCTTTGTTGTGTTTATTTGGGGTCTATTTCATTTAATAGGTCTTCTGTATAGTGATTTGTAACTTTTATCAAAGTTGAACTTTTAATGCACATGTTACTTTCAGACCAAAGTCTTTATCCTGGAAGATGTAGCCTCTTTTTTCATTTTTATCTTGAAATGCCCCTTGGCACAAGCTTAGTTAGGAAGTTGAGTTCAGTGGAGAAAGGACGTATAGTTGATATTATACTGGTAAGCCAAGCTCTAAGTTCACCAAGTCTGTTTTTTTCATGTTAAATTGCAGGAGTAGTATTTGCCACATATACCTTATTGGATTGTTTTCAAAGTAATGCACAGGAAGTTGCTTTGTAAAAAATGACCACCATATTCATTATTATGAGTTGACTATGAATTTACTAAAGAGTACCTAGAAAGCGCTCATCTAGATTAGTCTATATGTAGTAAATTGTAATTAAGGAATACATACAGTTGCAATAAATGTGTATGATTTTATGTACCATCTCTCACTATCTTCTAGTATAGCTAATTCATATCTGGCATCAGTTTAGTGACCAAGACACCCTCTCCCTTTGCTTGGATTATTGCAATGCCTTCCTGCCTGGTCTGCCTGGATCCACCCTTGATATAAACAGCCCCAGCCACTCACCCCCAACCCCACTCCTGCTTACATATATTCTCAACCTAGCCACCAAATTATTTTTTTAATATAAGTCAAGTCATATTACTCTTCTGCCCAACCACCCCCAATGGTTTTCCTTCTCACTAACCATAAAAACCAAACGTCTTATAATGGGCTCTAAGACCCTTCAGAATTTTGCCTTCATCACGTCTCCATATTTATCTTCCATCATTGACTTGTTTCCTACATTCCTGCCACATCGGACTCTTCATTATTTCTTGTCCTGGCCTCCCCTTGAGCAAATTAAATTCTCAAAGCTTCAGCTTCCTTATCTGTAAAATAGGCATAAAAATAGTAATAACTATAGAGGACTTTTTTTTTCAGGATTAAATTAGTTAAAATGCTTAGAACAATATTTATACCTAGTGTTAAAATGTCAATATTATATTATCATAAGTTTTATTACCCTCATCTGATTTTTTGTAAAGTCTCTAATGATTTGACTCCTGAATTGACAATAATCTCTGAAAACTGTCAGAGGCGTTTGAACCAGAGCAACTCCATCTTGAATAGAAGCTGGTTAAATATGGTTGAAACCTACTGGGTTGCATTCCCAGATGGTTAAGGCATTCTAAGTCACAGGATGAGATAGGAGGTCGGCACAAGATAAAGGTCATAAAGACCTTGCTGATAAAACAGATTGCAGTAAAGGAGATGGCTAAAACCCACCAAAACCAAGATGGCAATGAAAGTGTCCTCTGGTCGTCCTCACTGCTACACTCCCACCAGCGTCATGACAGTTTACAAATGCCATGGCAAGTTACCCTATATGGCCTAAAAAGGGAGGGCATCAATAATCCATCCCTTGTTTAGCATATCATCAAGAAATAACCATAAAAATGGGCAACCAGCAGCCGTCGTGGATGCAGTCTATGGAGTAGCCATTCTTTTATTTCTTTACTTTCTTAAGAAACTTGCTTTCACTTTACTCTATGGACTCGCCCTGAACTCTTTCTTGTGAGAGATCCAAGAACCTTCTCTTGGGGTCTGGATCCTGGATTGGGACCCCTTTCCTGTAGCTGAACGGTCACATTACTTTGTTGCTTATTCATATGTTTAAGCATCTTTAAGATCCTCACTGCAGCGAAATAAAGCTCAGAACTTCAAACACTATAAGTATTCCCAGGCCCTTGCTGCTATGTCTTAGATATTTACAGCTTCCCCTGAATTCTTTTTTCTTTATCCTTTGTTTTGGGGAAGGTTGTTTTATGTTTTTCTATTCTCACTTATATTATTTCTCTCCATTTCAGTTTAATATTATTTTTCATTTTTCCTTAATATTCATAATTCAGTTTTCCCCCACACTTGGCACCCTACCCTCTACCCTCTGTCTTCAATTCTTTCCACAATTTTCGCTCCTTCCCTTTTTGCTGTCTCAAGTGAGAACATAGGCACATTTATTTAACCCCACTGGAAATCCTGTGTTTTTGTAGGAAAAGACTTGCTTTCTTGGCAGTGCTAAAAATAAAGTAATTACTGAAGGAATGCATGATGGGGCCAGTTAGTAACCTGATAAATGGAACTTGGATACAAAGCAGAGATGAATAAAAAGACTCACCTGGTCCAGGATACTGGCTTAAAATGAGCCCTGCAGCAAGGCTGACTTGATTATGAGCTCCAAACCAGGAGGCTTTTCTTTCCTCAGTCTAGGAGGCAGGAGTAAGCCTGACAGTGGCAAGAAAGTATCCTCAAGAGTGGGCTAGGGAGGGATGGGGTAAGTTGTGCTGGTAAGGACACCGTGGGAGCAGTGAGCCAGTACATTCCATTCTTACATTTTTTGGCTTTAAAAAACGGAAGGACAGAGCTATATTACTCCATTTCTATTTTGTGAAAAAGTGTAAGCTTAATAATTTTAAAACTCAAGGCTACGTTTGATTTTTCCAAAGCACAATTAAATAAAAAATAGCTCCCTCAGTGGCTCATACCTATAAGAAGCCAAATGGTTTGGATAAAAATACTATTCCCAAGTCACCAGCATCAGCCTGTATAAATAAAATTATTAGGACAGGCAAAGCAATTCAGAGGAAAGAGCATCGCTTGGGGGTAAAATGTTTAAAGAATACTGTGAATTTCACTGTCACAAATTCAAATAAAGTGAGAGTGGAATTCACAGTATTTAAGGAATCAATCCTTGCTGCTTCTGTTTATGAAGCCGAGCTTCAGTTTTCTTGCTCTGACAATGGACACAGTGATTACCTCAAGGGTTGCTGTAGGAGTTAGATGAGATATCTATAATGTAGGAAAGGTGTTTACTACAATGTAACTCATGGATAGGGGCCTATATTGGTTTTCCATTGCTGTGTAACAAATTTCCATAAACTTAGTGGCTTAAAACAACAGACATTTATTATCTTTCATTTCTGTCAGAGGTCCAGGCAACTGAGTGGTTGATATCTCTGTTCAGGGTCTCACGAGGCTGAAATCAAGGTGTCAGTTAGCTGCATTCCCCTCTAGAGACTTGACTAGGGAAGGATTCTTTTCCAAATTCCTTCAAGTTGTTGGTAGAAGTGTTTCTTGCTAGCTTCAATTAGGGATGGATCTCAGCAACTAGTGACCACTCTCAAGTCTTTATTATATGGCCCCTTTTATACTCAAAACCAGCAACAGAGAATTCCCCCTCACATCAAATCCCTCTCACACTTTCAATCTCTATGACTCAGAAACGGGCTCACCTGGCTAGGTCAGACCCACCAGAATATTCTCCATTTTGGCTAGCTCACAGTCGCCTGATGAGCAATGTAATCATAGCAGTGGTATCATACACACAGGTCTGCCTGCACTCAAAGGAGAGTGATTATCAAGGAATGCACACCAGGGGCGGCAGGAATCTGGCAGCTATCTTAGAATTCTGCCTGCCACCATTTCCATTAAGTGATTGTTGTTGTTTGTTACTGAGGCATAGATGAAGTAGCACTTATGCAGGAAAAAAACCACTAGTCAATCAGAATTTCAAGTTGTATGATGAGGTATTCCATAGAAATTAAACATGCGTATAACAGATTCTCATAGGTCAGGACACATGAAAAATTTAAGGAAAGGATGAGGACTCCTTAATTTAGAGGGACTTCTGAAAGGTGACTTAATGATGACCCAACACTATATGTGAAATCATGTTTGGCTTCAAAAGCACTGTGGGCAGAAAAGGAGAAAACGTTTAATCTAGAGTACACAGTTATGGCATTATCTGGAGGGAAGGATAAAGCTACAAAGATTGTTAAAACTAAAATTTGTTGCCAAGGGAGCCATTCGAGCTCTGTCTGGAGATCTTCTAAATGAGAGTAAATTATTCTGTACTTGAGGTGGTTTGGGCACTGTCCTCCCTGAAGCCAATGTAGAGATAAAGTGTTGTTTTCACTCCTTCTAGTCCTGTGATTCTGCGTCTAAGGAGGCAAACCACCTATTGAATCAGTGCTCACCACAGGCTCCATTGCAGCATTGAACTGTGTCTGTGAGAAAGAATAAGGTTAAGTCAGGATTCCTTGATTAAGACGAGTTAATATAAACACTGAAAATCCAGTGTGCTGCCAGCATAGCTTTTGGCAGCATCAACACAGAGAAGAAAGAGCTGTAACAGAATAACAGCAAAATAACTTCGGGTCCTTCCTTCTCCTCCACCCACAAAATCCCATTTGGTGATATGAGAATCTAAATTGCTCAGTGCTTGGATGTTTGGCTGTCACATGTCATTGTTGTGTTGAACCTTCCCAGGCATGTACAGAGCTCACTGCTCAGGAGATTAATGTTCAAAAGCCAAAATGCTTGACCAAACTTGAAATCTATTTGTGGAATTTACTGTTTCATCATTGAACCATGAAAAAATAAATTCAGCAAATATAGTCCTAATACTCCAGCTCATCATGAAATGTCTCTTAATTTCTTGACGTGTCCATGAGTTAGAGACAGCTGAGAAAGGTTTCATTATCTTTGTCTACTTACATACATTCTTTCTCATTTCTTTTTCTTTTTAAAATCTAAGGCTTTTTTTACTTGAGAAAGGAGTTGTTCCGATTACTGTCAGTTTCTCTGGCTGATGTGATTTTCTCATCAGAAGCCTTGAACCCTTCTCCTTTTAACTTGATAGCAAAGAGAAATCATGATAGCTTCTTTTGACATCACTTTACACAAAAACAAACAAAACAAAACAAAATTATCATAAACTGGTAGAACAAGAAGACAGCATGTAGGGAACAAAACAACCATGTTCTTGATTCTAATGAGGTACATGATTTACTCCTACCATGGAAAATTCAAATATCTACCCTTGAACTTCAACAAGCATTTATGACTTGTTGATCTACTTATAGAACTAAATGATTATTTTGCAAAACATCATCTCTGTCTTTAAGTACTCCCTACAGAAGAAAGAAATGGAACATTAGTGTAAACATGATGGTCACTAAGAACTTGTGGACACTGAAGAAAGGCTATGGATAAATGATCCAACAATAAGAGAAAGCTTCTGAGTATGCCTCAGACCAGTGACTGACTGGGTTTTCTGGGAATATATTTTTTGGACAATGGGTCCAGGAAGACAATAATAAATATTGGAAAAACTTCCTACAGTCTATAAAATCCCTTTTATTTAGATAATCTCACTGGGAGGAAGGTAAGGAGAGGGATATTTATTGAGAGTCCGTGACAGAGAGATACACTGTGAGGTACCTTTCAGGTTCCATCTCATTAATTTCTTAAATTGACTCTAAAGAGGAATGTTACCTCAATTTTATAGATGATCTCCAAAATCCTCAAAGCTTTTAAGTAACTTGTCACTCTGCATAAGAATTTGCCTCCAAACTTAGGGATTTTAAAGAACTTTGTTTTTCTTTTTTCTATGTCACCCAGAGTATTTGGTCAGGAAAAGAACTTGCAGTTCTCACTCATAGTCAATTTGTTGGTAGTAGCCACTGGGTCTTCAGTCCTTGGAAGTCTAGACTGGGCTGGACTTTCAAGATGGTTCACTTAATGACTGGCAGATGTGACTGGCTGTCAACTGGGACCTCTCAGGGGACTGTTGACCAGAATACCTACATGTAGCCTCTATAGCATGGTGGTCTTAAGATAGCCCTACTTCTTATATGATGGACAGCCTCTCCAGATAAAGTGTTGCACAAGATCAAGTAGAAATGACCTGACCCTTCTGAGCAGCATCAGGAATTACACAGCATCGCTTCCTCCATACTCTATCGGTTGAAGTAATTAGAAGCCCACCAAGACTTCAGGGAAAGGGACATAAAAGCTATCTTTTGATGAAAGGAATGTCAAAATATTTTGGGGCCATGTTTTAAAATTACCATACTTGCTCAAAATACAACAGCAAGTAAGTGTCCACTAAAATAAAATACAACTCATAATGTGTGATGGACTTTTTTAAAATTTGTAAATGGTGGAAATTGACATCAGTGAGATTAAGGCTAGAAGAACGTATACGTTTGTAAATCAAATCACAGGAAAGGGAAGATGAATATGGCTTTAGTCACGTGTGGTTCTAGGCACCACTGCAGAAGCTTTTTCCATCAACTGCATTTGATTCGCTCTGTATGTTGGCTGCATTTTATCTATTGTAGACCACTATTTTCATAATGCTCCAGCAACAGCAAATGTCATCTAAAGGAAGGAACTCCTGCTCCTTGGTTCAAATTTGACATACTGCAGAGAACAATTTTGATACCTAGTTTTTGTCACATACAATCACCTGTTCAGTCCTTATAGCAGATCCTATTTGAGTCACGTGGTTAGAACAATCCTCGGTATTATAGAAGATTCCAAGGTGAAAGGAATAGAAGGAAAAATGGGTAAAATATGGCCACTCTATAGAAATCAAGAGAATTTACAGTGAATAGTGAACTAACTACCATCTCTTTTTGCTAAGAAACGCTTTGGGACAATTTTGTAAATTTTACAAAGGAAGGAATTAGTCTTTATCTCTCAGCAAACCTTTTGTTGACCAGAGGATCCTTGGAAAACCAAATGAGGGGCTATGTGATTTATCTGATAATGAGCTAGAAATCAGAGCATATACACACATCTTCATTTATGTACCACTTTTCAAGTATATTCACATGATTATTTCATTTACACACAATAGCTAAGTGTTATAGGACAAGTTTTATCTTCATTTTATAGCTAAGAAATCTGAGACCCAGAAAGTTTAAGTGACTTAATCCCAGTTACATAGGGAATAAATAGCAGAGCTAGGACTTCAACTCAGATTCCTCCTCTTAGACCAGTATACTTTTCACCGCGCCACAGGTTCGCCTAATGTAAAACTTAAGTTTCATTGATGACATGATACATGGGTAAAGGTTTTCTCTACTGGAGGTTCCAACCACTTGACTATCTCATCTTAGAGTAGCTGCCTGACAAAGCATTTTGGCTTCTATAGAGTAAATTAAACATGCCCTTTTATGAATGAAATTCATAAAAGTAAATTTCCTTTGCCAAGATTATCCTTCTTAAACATGACATCCCCTTCCGTAGACACCACTTATGGTCTCCCATTACACACAAGCTATTTTTCCTGATGCTCTCCCTCCCCCAACCCCCTTCAACAGGCCCCAGTGTGTATTGTTCCCCTCCCTGTGTCCATGTGTTCTTATTGTTCAGCTCCCACTTATAAGCAAGAACATGTGGTGTTTGGTTTTCTGTTCCTGAATTAGTTTGCTGAGGATAATGATTTCCAGCTCCATCCATATCCCTGCAAAGGACATAATCTTTTTCCTTTTTATGGCTGCATAGTATCACATGGTGTATATGTAACACATTTTCTTTATCAAGTCTATCATTGATGGGAATTTGGGTTGATTCCATGTCTTTTCTATTGTGAATAGTGCTGCAATGAACATATACATGCATGTATCTTTATAATAGAATGACTTATATTTCTTTGGGTATATACCCAGTAATGGTATTCTTGGGTCAAATGATATTTCTGGTTCTAGGTCTTTGAGGTGTCACCACACTGTCTTACACAGTGGTTGAACTAATTTACATTCCCACCAATGGTGTAAAAGCATACCTATCTCTCTGCAGCTTTGTCAGCATCTGTTTTTTCTTGACTTTTTAATAATTGCCATTATGACTGGCATGAGATGGTATCTCACTGTGGCTTTAATTTGCATTTATCTAATGATAAGTGATGTTGAGCTTTCTTTCATATGTGTGTTGGCCATATAAATGTCTTCTTTTGAGAAGTGTCTGTGCAGGTCTTTTGCCCCAATTTTTTTTTTTTTTTTTTTTTTTTTGAGACAGAGTCTCACTCTGTTGCCCAGGCTGGAGTGCAGTGGCACAATCTCAGCTCACTGCAAGCTCCGCCTCCCGGGTTCATGCCATTCTCCTGCCTCAGCCTCCTGAATAGCTGGGACTACAGGCGTCTGCCACCACACCCGGCTAATTTTTTGTATTTTTAGTAGAGATGGGGTTTCACTGTGCTAGCCAGGATGGTCTCGATCTCGTGACCTCATGATCCACCCACCTCGGCCTCCCAAAGTGTTGGGATTACAGGCGTGAGCCACTGCACCCAGCCTGCCCCACTTTTTAATGGGGCAACATACCAGAATCTCTGGGATGCAGCTAAAGCAGTATTAATAGGGAAATTTAGAGCATTAAATGCCCACATCAAAAAGCTAGAAAGATCTCAAATTAACATCTTAACGTCACAACTAAAATGACTAGAGAACCAAGAGCAAACAAACCCCAAAGCTAGCAGAAGACAGGAAATAACCAAGATCTGAGCTGAACTAAAGGAGATATTGATTAAAAATTCCTTCAAAAAATCTATGAATCCAGGAGCTGTTTTTTTTGAAAAAAATTAATAAAATAGACTTCTAGCTAGACTAATAAAGAAGAAAATAGTGAGAAATCACAGAGACACAATAAAAAAAGATAAAGGGGATATAACCACTGACCCCACAGAAATATAGACAACCATTTGAGAATACTATAAACAGCTCTACACAAATATACTAGAAAATCTAAAAGAAATGGGTAAATTCCTGAACACATACGCCCTCCCAAGACTGAACCGGGAAGAAGCTGAATCCTTGAATAGACCAATAATGAGTTCTGAAGTCAAGGTAGTAATGAATAGCCTACCACCCAAAAATGTTCAGGACCAGAGGGATTTACAGGTAAATTCCACCAGAAGTACAAAGAGGAGCTGGTAACAGTTCTTCTGAAACTATTCCCAACTGTAGAAAAGGAGGGACAATTCCCTAACTCATTTTATGAGGCCAGCATCATCCTAATACCAAAACCTGACAGTGATACAACAAAAAAAGAAAACCCCAGGCCAATATCCCTGATGAACATCGATGCAAAAATCCTCAATAAAACACCGGGAAATCGCATCCAGCAGCACATCAAAAAGCTTATCCACCACAATCAAGTCGGTTTCATCCTCAGGATGCAAGATTGGTTCAACATATGCAAATCAATAAATGTAATTTATTACATAAACAGAACTAAAGACAAAAACCACATGTTTATCTCAATAGATGCAGAAAAGGCCTTCAATAAAATTCAACATCCTCTCATGTTAAAAACTCTCAATAAACTAGGTATTGAAGGAACATACCTCAAAATTTATTATTTTGCCATTTATGACAAACCCAAAGCCAATATTATAGTGAATGGGCAAAAACTGGAAGCATTCCCTTTGAAAAACGGCACAGGACAAAGATGCCCTCTCTCACCACTCCTACTCAACATAGTATTGGAAGTTCTGGCCAGGGCAATCAGGCACGAGAAAAAAATAAAGGGTATTCAAATAGGAAGTAAGGAAGTCAAATTGCCTTTGTTTGCAGATGACATGATCCTATATCTAGAAAACTCTATCATCTCAGCCCAAAACCTTCTTAAGCTAATAAGCAACTTCAGCAAAGTCTCAGAAAATAAAATCAAAGTGCAAAAATCTCAAGCATTTCTATACACTAACAACAGACAAGCAAAGAGCTAAATCATAAATGAACTCCCATTCGCAATTGCTATAAAGAGAATAAAATACCTAGGAATACAGCTAACAAGGGAAGCGAAGGACCTCATCAAGGAGAATTGCAAACCACTGCTCAAGGAAATAAGAGAGGACACAAACAAATGGAAAAATATTCCATGCTCATGGATAGGAAGAATCAATACCATGAAAATGGCCATACTGCCCAAAGTAATTTACAGATTCAATGCTATTCCCATCAAACTACCATTGACATTCTTCACAGAAGTAGAAAAAACTATTTTAAAGTTCGTATGGTTTTTTTTTTAAAGTTCATAGGGAATAAAAAAGAGTCTGTATAGCCAAAACAATCCTAAGCAAAAAGAACAAATCTGGAGGTATCACGCTACCTGACTTCAAACTATGCTACAAAGCTACAGTAACCAAAACAGCATGGTACTAGTACAAAAACAGACACATAAACCAATGGAACAGAATAGAGACCTCAGACATAAGACCTCACATCTACAACTATCTGATCTTTGACAAACCTGACAAAAACAAGCAATGGGGAAAGGATTCCTATTTAATATATTGTGCTGGGAGAACCAGCTAGCCATATGCAGAAAATCGGAACTGGACCCCTTTTTTACATCTTATACAAAAATTAACTAAAGATGGATTAAAGATCTAAATGTAAAACCTAAAACTATAAAAACCCCAGAAGAAAATCTAGACAACACCATTCAGGACATAGGCATGGGCAAAAATTTCATGACAAAAACATCAAAAGCAATTACAACAAAAGCAAAAATTGACAAATGGGATCTAATTAAATGAAACAACTTCTGCATAGCAAAAGAAACTATCATCAGAGTAAACAGACAACCTACAGAATGGGAGAAATTTTTTGCAAGCTATCCTTCTGACAGAGGTCTCATATCCAGAGTCTATAAGGAAATTAAATAAATTTACAAGTTTTCTTTTTTTTAATTTTTGCTTTTCTTTTTGTTTTTGTTTAATCCATGGGTGCTTATGAGAGTTTTGATTTGGTTAACATAAGCCAGACCGATTATCTTATAAACTAGGAAGTATGAAATGTTTCTCTTTTGGTATTCCAAATCTCCCTTCCTGTACTTACTTTCCTTCTCCTGTTACTGCAAGTTTATCCCTCCACTGAGAAGAAATTGCTTCAATAAAATTTGTGGTAGAAAAAGAGGATGATGATGATAGTACCTACTATTTAATCAGTGCTTACCATTTACATGTTATTTACTCAGTGCTTATTATGGGGCTAAGTTTGGCTTTAATGCATTATTTTGTTTAATCCTATCTACCCTATGAAATTGATACTGCTATTTTCCCCATTTTTTCAAATGGTAAACCTGGCACTCCCAGATTGAAAAAACCTGCAAAAAGTCCCACAGCTGGTTAGTGGTAGAACTGAAATTCAGTCCCTTATTTATTGGATTCCTAAATCTATTTCCTTTGTTATTCCAATAAACATAATAATGGACTACCAAATTAATTTATTACCTGCTTTTGCAATGCTTTCTTCTTAAAAGAGGAACATCTGTAGAAGCAGTGCTTAATAGAATATTAAGAATTAGAATTGGTGTGGTTCCTAGCGTAATAGGCTAGTACAGAAAATATTTTCAAGTTGCTGAGAAAAGGCTTCCCAGAATCTCCCAAATCACAAATCACACCACGTAGAGAAATATTCTCTGCTTTCTGTGACTGAAATGGGAATTAGGAGACCCAAATAATAGGACCAGTTATGCTATTACCTCTCTAGGCTTTAAGTCTGTAATCTGTAAAATGAGGAAGGAGGAAAAGATCATCTACAGGAATTGATCCAGGTTCAAACCCCCAATCTGTGAAAGATTGATTATATGTTGAAATGAGTATAATGAATGGATCTTAAGGTTATTTGGTAAACCTAAAATCTTAGCTTCTTCTCCTTTCTAAACTCCAGTTTCTTGGGCCTCATATAAGTCTTCTTTGAGGTGAAAGATATCCTGTAAAACACAGTGTAGTCAATTTTTCAGTGAATGTCATTACAACATTACAGCCTTGATGCTAATTCATCTCCTAACCTACTTTCCCAGGACTTGGTAGTAAAGACTTAATGCTGTTTTCAGCCCTTTTCATCTTCAAAGCTCTTACTAAAATGTCTAATTAATCTTCCAAATGTCACTAAGGTAGGCACAATCCAGTGCTGCCACTCCTCTCGGATTCTCTTCATCTTTTCTTGTCAATTGTGGAATTATGGCATTAGAGGAGACCTGGAAGGCTGTTTGGTTGAAAATCATATCTGATGCTTGATTTCCACATTCTTGCCAAGTGTTTATTCAGTGTAAGGGATAATTTGGGGGTGTTCTTTCAGCCCAAGGGCTGAGAATTGCTCACTTTATCTAGAAATCATCCCACCTAAGCAGAACTCCCAGGCAGCTAGGTGAATACAACATGACTCCCCATCCAACTGCTGTTGATTGAACACCTGCAGCAAACTGAGCCAATCAGAGTGCACTCCTCCATAACAGAGAATTGGAATGAAGCTACCACAGTCTCAGTCTAGACTATTTCTTGTGACACAATTAATAACCTTGGAAGTGCTGGTACATCAACCTTCTTTTATGTAAGCTGATCAGCAAATATAGAAGTATTAAGCAGATGTCCAACAAAGAACAGAGATCCAATATGGAGAAAAGAGGTCCCTCTGAATTTCCAATCACTTTCAGCTTACTGGTTACAATCTCTGGCTGAACCTCTGCATTTATGTCAAATTAGCATCCTCACTAATACTTCCAGCCTATTGTGGAACAAGTCCAGTAATAAACAATTAGCTAAACATATATCCATTTATATATACACATATGTACATATATACATATGTATATACAAAATATATATGTATATGTGTGTATATAGTTTAAAATCATATATAATGTCATATCTTAAAATCGTGTGTGTGTGTGTGTGTGTGTGTGTGTGTGTGTATATATATATATAAAATCTTACAACTCCCTATTCTTTTCTTTCCTTCTGGGACTCTTCAGGCCGAAAGAACAACATAGAATCATAGGAGTCATGATTTTTCTCCTTCCTAGAAATGAGAGGTTTGAAGAAGAGATAAGGGGGAAATAGCTGAGTATTTTTCTCTACTATTGCTGGCTTCCTTTGAATCTATTTCTTTCTGATAGCGTGCTTTTTTTTGCTTTATTTTCAGGATGACTACATTATAGTCATCCCCTGCGTTATTGTAATGGGAATGGTAACTACATAAACCCACAGCCTAGTTGATTTGCAAGTATCCATATAAGTAGGAAGAATAAAAATTTTAGAATAGCAATGAATGCTAATATTTTCTCATGTTTCCAGATTTATGATTTGACCTTTCTACGCAACTGAAACAATTATTTAGATTTTTAAATTGCAACAAACCATGTCTTAAAATCATGGACTGTCAGCCTAAATCAAAAGAACGTTACTTAAACTGTATGTCACTGTAAATAACCCCTTTCCGAGTCCCCTGCCTGATGTGATTCAAAAAAGACTGTCAATAAAGTGTAAAGAGTGAGTTTTCAATTAGTAGCAATGACACCTTCATAGAGCCTGGAAATTGAGTACTTAACCCATGGTTAGGTTTTGAAATGTCCTTTTTCCTGACATGAAGTGAATTGTTGTCTCCTCTATATCTGCTCTGCCATCTCTACCCCAATCTTTTCTCTGAGTGTAGCCTAAGAGGCCACTTCCCTGAGTGTAGCCAGGTCTGGGTGGTAGCCAGTTCTGAGTGGTGTCAGTGTAGGAAAGGACTGAAGAGCACGTGGGTAAAAGATGTCACGAAAGGCAGGGATGAGTGGAAGGGAGCTCTAAAGAATAAAGGCCTCTGGCATCAAACTGCAATTCAAACCTCTGTCATGGTTCTGCCTTACCCTAGAGCACCAGGGTAGGGATCAGAGTTCTCTCTGCCTACCCCTGTTCTTCCAAGGCTGTCTAAAATATGTCACCTTGTACTGCATTGGGCAGTAGAGAGATGAGCCCATTCAGTGTGAATAAGAAAGTTCTTCTTAAGAAGACGAGGGATCAGAAATTCACTTTCGATGTCCCACTCAGAATAAATACACTTCCTAGCTGATCTTGGCATTATGCATTTCATTTACTCACTCAGCTTATCAGAAACTGTTTTTCTTTTGTTTTTTGTTTTGTTTTGTTTTGAGACAGAGTCTCGCTCTGTCACCCAGGCAGGAGTGCAGTGGGCGATCTCTGCTCACTGCAAGTTCTGCCTCTCGGGTTCACGCCATTCTCCTGCCTCAGCTTCCTGAGTAGCTGGGACTACAGGTGTACACCACCATGCCCAGCTAATTTTTTTTGTATTTTTAGTAGAGACGGGGTTTCACCGTGTTATCCAGGGTGGTCTCAATCTCCTGACCTCATGATCCGCCCGCCTTGGCCTCCCAAAGTGCTGGGATTACAGGCGTGAGCTACCGCGCCCGGCCATATTTTTTTTTTTAATTGAGCTCCTACTTTGGGATTTACTGGCTAACTATTTATACAGCTGTCTCTACAGTGGTTCTTAAGTTGTGGCTCCTGCATGTCTTAGTCTGTTTGGGCTGCTATAACAAAATACCTTAGACTGGGTCATTTATAAAAAATAGAAACTTAATTTCTCACAGTTCTGGAAGCTGGAAAGTTCAAGATCAGGATACCAACAGATTCAGTGTCTGGTGGAGGCTCACTCTCTGCTTCACAGATGGTACTTCGTTCTGAGTCTTCACACATCAGAAGGGGCAAGGCAGCTTCCTTCAACTTCTTTTATAAGAGCACCAATCCCATTCACGAGGTCTCTGCCCTACTGACTTAAGCACCTCCTAAAGGCCCCATGTCTTAAAACTATTGTTGGGGGTTAGGTTTCAACATATGAATGTGGAGGGGCACCAACATTCAGACCATAGCACTGCATCAGCAACAGCCTTATTGCCTAGAACTTGTTAGCAATGCAAATTCTTAGGCCCCATCTCATTTTCAATAAATCAAAATTCTAGATTTGGGGTTGAGCTCTTGTCTTTTCACAAGCTTTCCAGGTGACTCTGGTGTACACTAAAGTTGTAGAACCATTGCCCTAGAGGCCATAACTTAAGATAGAAAGTCCATTTAAGCCAATACCTTGAAATTATACTCTTCCCCTTCAGCAGTGCAGTAATGAACTAGGTTGGAACTTAAGGCAAAAGTTAAAATCAATAAATTGATTTTGTCTTTATTTAAAGTTTAGATATCTTGTTCATCATATCTTTTTTTTTGCCTTACTTTTGACTTTCAAAAATATTTGTCAGGATTCCTGAGTGTTTTGGTGACCACTTAAATTTAGCACCAGAGATGAGTGCTTCACTCACTGCACCCCCGCCCTGTAGGGAGCCATTCACATCAGGAAGAGAGAACAGACATTCAGAGCAGTCAGCTTCGTATCACCTTGGATTCTGCAGACCAGCAGGACAGTCATTCTGAATGTGGGTTGGGAGGACTCACGCCTCAGCTGTAAACAAACTTCAGCTTGCCCTCTGCTGTGGATGGTCAGGGTAGAATTGCAGGGTCAAAAGATATTTTTTCTGTTTCAGGGATGTAAGCAATAATTTCCAGAGTGGCTGTAGCATCCCTCAGCCCTCCTTTCTTTTGAACGCAATTTAAACCAGAGATGACTACTAATTTATTTATTTCCGAGGGAAGCCATGTTAATCAGGATGAACTAACTTGATTTAATGTGAGTGTCATGTTTACCCGTAGTTACTTTCCATTTTATTCTGCAGTCACGGCTGATTAATCACCAAATTGTGACAAGAGGGAAGTAATTCACACTGCAAGCCTGGTGCTTGTCTCCACCTTCAGTTTCATCTGCAAAAGGGCAGAGTTGCCAAGGGTTAAGGCCTGACACCCGAGTGCTCAATAAACCAACGAACTTCCCTCCTTCTTTTCATTCCTCTTTCATTCCAAACTGCAGGAACAAAGGGAAGAATATAAAAGCCATGCCCATAAAAATGGTAATTTAATTAAATGAACTAAAATGACTCCTTTTCAATAAGTTTTTATTTTGGAATAGAGGCAAGTGGTCAGTCCCTTCTATACCCAGCTAATCTCCTTTGCAGGCACTGAAGACGTTAAACCTACTGGCCTGTTCTGGAATGAATTCTGATCCAGGCTAGGCGCATGTTAGTAGGATCTGGCTCACCAGCTGGTGGCGTAGTAAATACTGTGGTGCTCCCCCAAGATCTCCTCTTTAGATCTCATTCACCCAGTCCCTGACTTCTGGGACTATCAGCTATTGATGGCTCACAGCTGCATTCCTCATTGGATTCACCCTCAGTCTCTGGGATTGGCCTTGCCCAAAGTTACACCCCCTGGCAAAGGTGGCTCACAGCCAGTATGCTGAGGTAGGGAGAAAAAGGCCCAGCCTCCTTGGGACTCAATTTGAGACACAGCGAAGGACATTTCAGCTCCAAAATTCTCCATAGGATTAGCTGAGGCCTCAGTTATAAATCAGTTTCTCTTTTACCCAATCCTGCCCTCCTCTCTTCCTTTAAATTATATCTCTGAGAGCCCACTCCTTCACCCCAACACTATTCATTTGGTATCTCTCGCCAGAGAACCAATGTAACTATCAGAAGTGGTTCTAGTAAGCAGCCTCTAAATGGGCTTCTGGAGACAGATCATTCATTGGCTGGCTGGCAATGAGGATCTCATCACTAGTGGGGATGGGATGGAGAACAAATGGCCCCAGGGATGCTGTGGCAGTGTAGTTAAAACTCTCACTGGTGGCGAACTTGAACAAAATTTTGGTGGAAGAAAATGAACTGGCTGATGCAATTTTTATAGTGCTAGAGACATGTGAAGGAAATGACACCCATAAGAACCATGGGATTGGGTGGTTGATGCTGAGTACCAATGACTCATTGAAGAGATATAATAACAGGCTCTGGGTGGTAAGTCATCAATTCATGACGAAATGTGCAGGCATGAGATAACTCTTTGGCGGTACTTAAGGTATCTCCTGTGGCTGGAAGATCAGACTCAAGATCAGGCTCAGGCTTTAGATCCACTTAGTAGTGGAACTTAAGAGAAGATTAAATTCTCTAACACAGCCGGCTTTCTAGGCCCAAGTTCTACTAGGGAAAGAGTGAGACACTGCAAAATGGGATAGGGATAGGTATAGGTAGATGCATTTGAGAACCTTGAACTCTCAGATTCTCCTGAGTGCACTGGACATATAGAAATGACCCACTCACACTTGTTAGAAGATAGTGGCCCCTTCTTTATTTAAAGATAATGCAGAGGCCTCCAATTAGGTAGATGCTATACAAGATAAGCTTCAGTTATGCTTTCCTGGAAACCAGACCAATAAAAAGGAAGGGTCAAATCCCAGCAAAGTCCATTGGGCCATGTGTTGGGCCTGCTAGGGGAAGATAAGACTATACGTTGAAGGGGCTGTAGAATTTGACCAGTACTTCCTGGCAGGAACTGGAAATATTGTAGAGAACTAGATCTTGAGGGTTGTAGGTCAAGCGAGATGGAATATAGGGTTGGATAAGAGAGAGTTTATTGATATGAGTGTACTCTCCTATAGTATTAAAGGACTTAACACCCTAGAAAGGCCCTTAGAGGTGGTGCTAACAGTGGTTAGAGTGGCTCTTGAAAGCTTAGAAAGAGTGATGGCACACACTAAGTGAAGTGAAAATGCCAGAATCGATATGGCCATATGACTATAGAATAAGTGAACAAAAGGCTCAGAAAAAAGAACATTCTAGAGTGGATTTATTAGTAAAGCTGGAAAACTCTCCAGTCAGATCAATTTCTCAGAAGGTCCCAGAAGATACTCTAAGCAGTGTGCATTAGAATACTGAATTAGGGTACTGAGAGATCACTTCCTAGCAGGGTGCTGTAAAACATAGAGCATGTGGTGACTGTGGAGAGGGCCACAGTGAGGTGGCCACTAGGCTAGGGTAAGGAATGTGGGCTTGCAAGGACCTACAAGCTCTGGACAAGCAGCTGCAGTGGAGCACCACTGGATTTTTTCCATGTCTACTTCTGGAAGCGCTGTGGTAGGAGCAGGAAGACTACAACACAGCAGCACCCCAGAAGCAATATCCCTCCACACCCTCTACTGATAAAGCTTATATCATAATGCTCACTGTGAAGGAGAAATATCTGGAGGACTGGCTCCATTATTACACAGGAGATAATGCATAATCGATTATGAGATAAGCAATAAATTAATGTCATTGTTTATTCTTTTGACAACTCAGATTCCATACACCCTTTTACACACATTTCAACTTTCATACAACAAGTAAATAACTCTGTATTTCCACCCTTATAAGATACAACTATCCTTCTTGCTGGTGAGGAATTCTCACTTTTCCCAACAGTAAGGAGATGTATATAGTTCCAACAGTCATTGTATCCATTGCTGGCTATGTCAATGACTCCCAAATTTCACTGTAGTCCCATTGAATGTTCTGTTACCTAAAGAGTAAAATTTAAAGTTAACCCACAACAGCTTGCAAGTAAAATGAAAACAAATGGGTAAAGAAGAGAGAATAAAATGATTAGCATACAAATGAATGCATATAACAAGTAAAGATAAAACACAAAATTACTACAGTTCTTATTACTTTAATTGGTTACAGGATTTGGTTGATATTTAATTAGTCCTTCTTTCAATACCACTTTTATATTTCCCCATCTCAGCCAGAATCTCAGCTAGTTGGAGTTATTTACCTGGTGGAGTGACCGAAATGTTAATTTCCAAGGGATCTAAGTTGTCAATTAACCTGCCCTTTTTTTTTGTTGCTGTAGTTTTCATTAACTTTTTTTTAAATTGAATATGGAAGTATAAAGAGGCACTCCGAAGAGTCCACTGTGTTCCAAACAAAATCTCCTTTGTCCTTGCTGTGCAGCAGTAACTCAATTTCCTCTTGGTATTCTGGATCAGTAACTCCAACAAGTAGAGTAATTTCTTTTTTCCTTGTTTGTTCAAGTGGCATAAGGAGCCCAAAATGGCCGTGTGAAAGTCTCATCTTCCAATTCAGTAGAAATACCATTGTGTCTCCCAGTGGAAATCTTACCTCCTTGGATACAAAGACCTCTAAACTCATAGAGCAAAAATTCTGTGAGTGAGTTATTAAGCAATCATAGTGAGAAGAGGCACCCTTACACCTTGAATCCTGGAGCCATGCATTGTGGCTATGGGGGAAACAGTATCATACACTGGTCTGTGATTTGAAGAACATACTGCATCCTATACACAAAATATTATAATTTTAGGGTGTTGTTTCTCAACCTGTTTAGTAATTGAGTTGTACATAAGCAATTCAACATTTCAGTGAGCCCAGTTGCTTCCAGGTGATGTGATATGTAGGAAAATCAGTTATGCCATAGATGTAAGTCCATTGCTGCACTTACTTTGCTGCGAAATGAGTTCCTTCATCAGACTCAGTGCTACGCAGAATTCCTTGACAGTAGATAAAGCTTTCTCTAAGCCTATGGGTGATGATACTAACAGAAGCATTACGTGTAGAGAAATCAATTACAGACCATATGTAATTTTGTGCCGTTTATGATATAAAAGATCAAATGTAATCAACCTGCCATCAGTTTGCTGGATGGTTACCCTGGGGAATGGTGCCGTATTAGGAGCTCAATTTTGGTCTTTGCTATTGGCAAATTAGTCAGTAGCATTAAGCAGGTTAGTCTTAGTAAGGAGAAATCTATGTTGTTTAGTCCCTCTGGCCTTGCCACTATGGCTATTTTATTGTCCCATTGAACAAGAGCTAGTATGACTAGAAAGAGGTTAATGAATATCATTAGAGCATGCCATTTTATCCACATCATTCTTAAGAGCTTCTACAGTGGATGCCCTTTGTTTGGTTTCACACAAAACACAAATATCTCCTGTCTGTGCCATTATGAGAGGTCCATTGACATAGTTCTTTCCTAGACCTCTTGTCACCAACTTTCCAATCCTGTTTCTTTTTAAATCCCTGACCATCTAGCCAAACTTAGCAACTGCCCAAGAGTTAGTGTGCATTTACAATTTGGCCCGTCTTTCACTCCAAGCATAGCAGGCAACCAAATGTACTACTCAAAGTACTGCCCATTGTGACAAGGAGATTCTCCTTCAGCACCACCCTTCTGAGCCATGCCTAGGTGAGGCTATAGTGATGCAGCTGTCCTCTTTTTGTTAGTACCATCATATCTTACAGACCCATCTGGCTTGACATTCTTCTTCCTCAGTAAATTGGATAATAAAAAATATTTCCAGAGGCCATAGGCATTGATCGAAATACAGAAGGCAATGCAACAAGAGTTGGTGTTAAATTAGTGTGACCAGTTTGCTTACTCTTACTTTTAAGACCTGCCTGAGCTCAGTCTTTTGTACGCCATTTTAGTTTCATGATAGATTGTTGCTGATGACATCTACTCTTATGAATACATATGGCAAACAATACCCAGTTTATAAGGATAAGCTTGGATTCCATGGTCAATTAATATCTCATGTTTAGGCATTCAGTTTCTACCAAGGCCCAACAACAAGTCAGAAGCTGTTTTTGTTTGTTTGTTTGTTTGTTTTTTGAAAGGAGAAAAGTTATTTGAAGGAGAGAGCAGAGATGTGCTCTCAAGTCTTAGAAATATCTGTTGTTTTTCTCCTACTAGAAGCTCCAAACAGCATCCCCATTTGTCACGGTCACTTCAAGTATCATTGGACTTGTTGGATCATAAGGACCAAGTAGTAGCTTGCCTTGTACTGCAGCCTAAACTTGCTTCTCTTGCTATGGTCCCTACTTGAAAGTGGCAACCTTACAGGTGACTCTGAGTATGAGTTGAAGTAGCACACTGAAATGTGGTATAACTTGCCTTCCAAATACCAGAAGGCTTACTAAACAAAGTGCTTCTTTTTCATCGTAGGTGACGTGGAGTGAATCAGCTCTTCTTTCATCTTGGAAGTAATATCTTGACATGCTGCAAACCAATGAACCATCAGAAACTTCACCGAGGTTTCAAACACTTGTATGTTGTGGAGTTTATCTCCTACCCTTTATTTTGCATATGTCATACTAAAGTATCTAGAGTACTTGCTAATCAGATCTAATGAGCATAATGTCATTGATATAGTGGACAAGTATGATATTTTATGGAATAAGATAGCCATGGTCTCTGCAGGCTACAATAACCCTTAGAGAAGAACTGATGGAACCCCGATGCAGGATTGTAAGAGAATACTGATTGTCCTCCCAGGTAAAAGCAAAGGTCATCGAGTGTTCCTTACAAATTGGTTGCATAAAAAAGCATTATTCAGATCAATAGCTGCATACCAAGTGCCAGAATTAATGTTGATTTGTTCTAGAAAAGATAATATATCTAGAATAGCAGCAGCAATTACAGCCACCATCTGATTAAGTTAACAATAGTCTCTGGTCATTCTCCAAGATCGACCTGACTTTATTAGAGGCTTAATTGGTGAGATAAATGGGGATGTGATAGGTATCACCACCTCTGCTATATTTAAATCTTTGATAGTAGCATTAATCTTGGCAATTTTTCTAGGGATGAGATATTGCTTGTAGTTTACTATCTTGATAGTGAAGAAATGTTCCAGGGGCTTTCATTTAGTCCTGACATAATCACCCTCACCCTATGGTCAGAGAGCCAATGTGGGTACAAACTGAGCCAGTTGTGATACTATTTATTATTTGATCACTGTAAGCCCCACTTTGACTATCAGGCCATACTGGCATTTTGGGTCCCCAGGAATTGTCATTAATTCAGATGACTATCCAATAATTTCCCCCAAAGGTTTGAGTATTTCCTTCTCTCCAGCACATTCTCACTCTAATTAGTGGCCACAGGATTCTGTTTACACCCCTTCAATTAAGGGCTGCTGAGTCTGTGAATTGACTAAGGTCTGGAAACTCAGGGAGAGGCCATGACTCTTCAATGTGGGGACTCAAGTTTTTTGCTCTAGATTTAGAGTTTATTTGATCAGTCAAGAAACACTTTAGTAGGCTATGTATCTATTTAATTCCCTGGAAACCATGATCAGTTAACCTACTGACAGATATTCTTGTGTGTCCAAGCATTTTGATTATTGGTACCTCTCTGATATCTATTATGATAAATATTACCACCTTCCCTTTCAGGCTAAGTGCTGCCACTTGGTCTAACACCTTTAGAATTCACTCCTGAGCATGTTCCCTGAGTTTCTTTACATATGCAGTAGCAAAGTCTTGCAATTCTTTTGGTTTGTAAGCTACAATGTCATGAGTTATAGTGTGTCCCGGCCCCTTGGAGCATGGTGAAATTTCACCCTAGTTATGGGTCTAGTGGCGACAAAGTGTGGTTATGGTAAGTCTTGAGAGAAATGAGCATCCATTTTCAAGGCTCTTGCCCCAGGTGAGGTTATCACAGGATTTCCAAGCAAGGTAGGCAACAAAGAGGAACCTAATTCTCTAGATAAGGAAGACTCAAAATCACATGGGAATTCCCAATTTTCAGCTTTCTCTGGATCCAACCAGATGCCGACATTCTAAGTTTAAGGATTTCATCATTTTCTAATCAATGTCTTCAACTTCACATTGGGAAACTTGACAAGACTGTGGATTTAACTTTTGGAATTCAGCAGTCCATGCAACTAAATGGTTGCTTTTTATTTTCAGCAATATTAGCACTGTGGCTACAAGAAAAAGGAAATCCTTTCAAAGCTGTCACGGAAGTTCTCTAGTTCTCAGATAGTCACTTAAGCTAAAAGTTGAAGAATCTGAGCATGTCATTTTCTTTTTTGTAAGTACTCAAGTGCATTTAAAAAATCAATCTCAAATCATAGTCCTTGTAGTCATCATTAGCCATAAAAGTAAAGTGCAGCAACCACTTTGGATCCTATGGTGCTTGTTTCAGTTGGCTCTTCGTCACAGTAAACCACAAGTTACAGCTTGATTAGTTACTATATCACTTTATACCATGGATTCCTAGTATCCTATTCCCCATAGTCAAGGAGCTCAGCCCTGCACTTCAACCCATGTGCATGATCTAAACAATACAAGAAGGCCTACCAAACAAAATGCCTCTTTTTTATGGTAGGTGACATGGAGTGAATCAACTCTTCTTTCATCTTGGAAGTAATATCTTGACAATTTCTGAATCCCATCTTTGTGAAACTAGTTCCACTACCAATTCTTTATCAGTTGACTTTCAGTTAGGAGACAGTAATCATACAGGAAAAGTTTAATATAGAGGATTATTCACTATAACAGAGGAGTAACTATGAGACGCTATAAATACATAAAAAGAACTCTAAAGAATACCCTAGGTCTGAGGGAGAGTACCTGAAGAAGACAAAATTTGGAAGGGAAGCCCCCTCCCTAAGCTGAGATTTAGACCTCTTTTGAGGTACAGTTTCAATTCATTTGTTGGAGAAGATCTCTGAGCCACTCCAGTATAGCAGTCACCCCATGTCTACAGGGCATACTTTCCAAGACACCCAGTGGATACCCGAAACAGAAGGTAGTACCAGACCTGACTGCTGTCAATCCAAACATGTTTCTGTTCATGTTTTCCACTCACAGATTTAATGCCTTTTCCTTGGTAATTTAGTACTTAACATGCACTGTAGCTATAACTTTTGCAGTTTGAGGTGGGATAGCAACTAGCATGAGTTTCTTTTTCCTTCTTCCCAATTTCATGAATAGAAGATTTGTTCTTACCATACATCTTAGCAACCTCAACCTATAATTTTTTCTCATCTCTTATCAAGTTGAGAACTTTCACTTTTTCATACAAAGGAAGCATTTTACTGCTTCTCTTTGGCACATCTGAATTGCTAGTAACACTACTTTTGTACCCTGGGGCCATTGTAACACTACAACCTATAATTTTTTTATTTCTTATCAAGTTGAGAACTTTCACTTTTTCAAAAAAAGGAAGCATTTTACTGCTTCCCTTTGGCATATCTGAATTGCTAGTAACATGACATTTGTGCTCTGGGCCCATCTAAGTAAAATAAGGGTGGCTAGAACACAAGCACTGCAATACTGAGACAGTTGATCTAATAACTGAGATGGCTCCTAAGCAACGAAAGGCGGGTGGCGTGTACAGCGTGGACATGCTGGAAAAAGGAGTGATTCATGTCCCGGGTGGGACAGAGCAGGACAGCACAAGATTTCATCACACTTCTCAGAACAGCATGTGATTTAAAATTTATGAATTATTTCTGGAACTTTCCATTTAATGTTTTCAGAACACAGTTGAGCACTGAATTCCTGGAAAGTGGAAACACAGATGAAGCCAAGGGTGGGGACTACTGTACTAGGCAAGCAGAAGACAGCCTCTGGGGTGGGTCTGGCTAAGGCTGTTGGTGGGGCTGGGCAGACAGGAGTTGAGTGCAAGCTCACTCACGGGCAAGGCAACCTGAGGCCTGGGATGCATGTTGCCTACATTGAAAGGGCCATGGCAAGGGGGTCGACTGGTCAGGGTCAGGGCTGCAAACTGGCCGAAGGACTGAAAGCTCCAAGAAAGTGTATGTGCTAAAGATGCTCTGGAAGTTGGCAGCAGACAGTTCAAGAAAGACAATGTAGGACACACAGGGTGTTGCACTGCTACTGACCTCTACCAGTGGTGAGACCCTCATGCCATTCACAGTTGTAGGAGAGTGAGTCAGATTGGTTGAACTTAAGATTCCTTTTCTTGGTGAGAAGATTACTTGTTCACTCAAAGGCTGCACATAACATGGGATTACTGAGATATCAGGTGCTAATAGGACTGAGGGATTAGATGGTAGACTGTCAAAAATTGACAGAGGTTCCTCAAACAGTTCCTGTTCATGATACCCCTTTTTGGGTGACTGAGAGATAAAGATTCCAGGTCTTGTTCCTTTAAGTTAAGGTATGCTATATGTGTGAAAGATCAGTTGAGTTTAAACAATTTCTAATCCTTCATTCAGCCAATCAATCAGTCATCTATTCACCAAACATGCATCAAATGTACATAAAGTGCAAAATCCCATTCTGGATCAATTAAATGCCCCTGCCACGCATTCATGCCTTCTCCTTTCATCCCTCTCATTCCTGCTCTTAGACTTTTAAGAATTTATATAATGGAGCCCCCAAATCCTCAGTTATTCAATCCCTCATGTATGTCATTAAAGTTTTTTCCACCAACATCTTCCCCTCAGCCTTCCCTCCTGTTTCCCAGCCTTGGTCATTTGAGCATTGGTTTGAGTCTCCATCCCAGGAAGGACAGGGAAGGAAAATGAGGTCAACCTGGACACATCTCATCTCCAAGACTATGTTTAACAGCTCTGGCAGGAGATTTTAACACAGGAAATTGCATAAAATATGTTTCAGGGATTATTTTTGGATTTCAGTGACCCATGTTCTTCCTGGCACTGATCATCAGAGCTAACTGAAAACTAGTGTTGATTAAAAAAAAAAAAAAAAAAAAAAAAGCCTGTGGGTTAAAACGGTAGCCACAAGCACTCCAGAAGGCAGCCACGGTGTGAAGAAGAGTACAAAGTCTTAATTCAACTTCTGGCTTTCCTTCTTAGTAACTGCGTGAGCTGTTTTATTGCTTTTTGAAACACAGAAACATGCAATGTGCACATACAAATATTCACGTGCATGTACACACGAATACTTTGTAGGTACAAAAGCCATAGAGGGTAGCAGCTAAGGCTGTGGGCTCTGGATGCAGATGGAGCTGGTGTTAAAATCTCGCCCTATCATTTTACTAGTTGTATAACTTTCAGCCACTTACCTTCTTTTAGCATTAATTTCTGCAGGTGCAAAATGGGACTAATTATAGTACTTATTTCATGAGGTTGTTGCAATAATTAAAAGAAATAATGCATGTAAGACTGTTAGTAAATGTTTGGCATGTAAAGAGCACCTAATAATAAGCAGTGGCTACTATTATATACACACACATATACATTATACATACATGCATAAGGCCATTTCAGTCAATGATAAACTGCATATACAATGATGATTCCGTATAATTATAATAGACCTGAAAAATTCCTATAGCCTAGTGACTACATAATATCCATCATAATGCTATTGCACAATGCATCACTCATGTGTTTGTGGTGATGTTGGTGTAAACAAACCTACTGCGCTGCCAGTCACATAAAAGTATAGGCTGGGCATGGTGGTGTAATCTTAGCACTTTGGGAGGTGGAATCAGGAGGATCACATGAGTCAGGAGTTTGACACCAGCTTGGTCAACATACCGAGACTCTATCTCTATCCCCCACAAAAAGAAAAAAGAAAATATAGCACATACAATTATGTACAGTACATGTACTTGATAATGATAATATATGACTATATTACTGGTTTATGTATTTACTATCTTATGCTTTTTCTTGCCGTTTTAGAGTGTGTTCCTTCCATTTATTAAAAACAAAGTTAACTGTAAAGCAGTCTTAGCCATGTCTTTCAAAAGATATTACAGAAGAAAGTATTCTAGTCACAGGAGATGACAGCTCCATGCATGTTACTGCCCCCTGAAGACCTTCCAGTGTGACAAAATGTGGAGATGGAAAATAGTGATATTGATGATCCTGACCCTGTGTATGCCTAGGCTCATGTGTGTGTTTGTATCTTAGTTTACAACAAAAAAATTTAAAAAAGAAAAAGAAAAAAAAACATAAAAGCTTATATAATAAGGATATAGAGAAAGAAAATATTTTGTACAGCTGTAAAATGTATTTGTGTTTAAAGCTATTATTACAAAAGAGTAAAAAAATTATAAAATTAAAAACTTGAAACAGTAAAATGTTACAGTAAGCTAAGGTTAATTTATTATTAAAGAAAGACATTTTTAATAAATTTAATGCCATGTAAGCATATAGCATTTATATGCACATAACTTATTCAATTTCTTTATTTAATTGCATATAATTCTCAAAAGACATTTCCCCCTATGGGACATGAGCTCTAAACAGAAAAAGTCTGCCACTCTAACTTCTAAAATATTGTTTGACTAAGTTATTTTCTAAATTTCTAAAAGAAAAAATCAGAAAATTCACATCAATGCTAGTACCCTCAGCAATACAGAAACAAAGCTAGTGTTTTTTTTTTTTTTTCCCTCGAAAGAAGCTCTCATTTTTCTAATGTTTTCCCTTAGGTACTATGTGCACTACAACTATGGACAGAGTGACTACTGGCAGAAATGAACCCATGTGAGAATTCTGGGATCGAAGAGAACAAGGAGCTAAAGGAAGTCAGTTGGATGATGTAGGAGGGAGGCTCCTGTTTTTCTGACATCACTGCCAGATGAAGCACCAAATAATTAGAAAGCTTTCACTCCATTTGCCTTGGATAGATTTAAAGGCTAGGCACAGTCATTTGTGTTAGTTAAAATCTCTGAAACCTTAAAAATAAATAAATAAATAAATAAAATCAAGTCTGTGGTAGTATACAGCAATGTCCTCGGCCTTCACATTCCCTCACCAGTCACTCACTCACTCACCTAGAGCAACTTCTAGTCCTGACAGCACTGTACATGCCCTGTATAGGTATACCATTTTTATCATTTATACTATATTTTTATTGTATCTTTTAAGTGTTTAGGTTTACAAATACTACTGTGCTACAATTGCCTACAGGATTCAGTACAGTAGCAATCTGCACAGGTTTGTAGCCTAGGAGCCATAGGCTATGCCATATAGCCCAGACGTGCCATAGGCAATATCCTCCAGGCTCTGTAAGTGCATGCTATGATGTTTGCACCACAACAAAATCACCTAACTATGCATTTATCAGAAGGTACTCCTGTCACTAAGCAAAGCATGACTATACCTATAACCTTGAATTACTAGCTGTGTGACCTTTATATACCCCTTAACCTCTCTGAGCTGCCTTTGCAATTTGACATCAATAACCAACTCCAGGTTTGCTGTCAGGATTAAAGAAGAAGAGTAGCTAACATTTACTGAGCTCTTACTACTGTATATAAAAGGTCCTCATACAATATACAGTACTATCAGGTATAAGATATTATTGTGCACAGCAGCTGGTTAAAGGATTCTCAACAGAAGAATGAAATTCACATTCACTTCACAATCACCCTCTGATTAAAATGCCACTTGGGAAGTACAGACCTTTCATTCTGAAATGATCCACATTCCAAACAAAAGGTTAAATAGAAAGTTACCACTTTGACTTCGCAATCAAAGGTAAGTTCAATCTGTCAGCCTGTATTTATGAGGCAGAGAGGGAGCAATGACAATACTCTGAAATGAAGTTCACCTTGTTCAAGAGATGCTTTTCTGTGGAACACTGAAAACCAATACTCTGAAGCCTCTGGCACAGTTGAACTCTCCTTCCAGGTGAAAGAGAGGGCACAGAACCAGTAGGATATATATGTACACACACACACACACACACACACACAGAGAGAGAGAGAGAGAGAGAGAGAGAGAAAGAGGGATTTTAAGGAATCAGCCCCTGGTTTTGGGGCTAGTAAATCTGAAACTTGTAGGGCGGACTAGCAGACTGGTAACTCAGGCAGGATTTCTATGCTGCAGTCTTGAGGCAGAATACCTTCTTTTTCAGGAAACCTCAGTCTTTGCTTCTCCCCACCCCCCCTGCTGAGACGGAGGTTCGCTCTTGTTGCCCAGGCTGGAATGAAATGGCACGATCTCGGCTCACTGCAACCTCCGCCCCTGGGGTTCAAGTGGTTCTCCTGCCTCAGCCTCCCGAGTAGCTGGGATTACAGACATGCATCACCATGCCTGGCTAATTTTGCATTTTTAGTAGAGACGGGGTTTCTCCATGTTGGTCAGGCTGGTCTGGAACTCCCGACCTCAGGTGATCCGCCCGCCTTGGCCTCCCCAGTCTTTGCTCTTAAGGCCTTCAACTGATTGTAGGAGGACCGCTCACACTAAGGAGAGTAATCTGCTTTACTTAAATATTGTAAATGTTAATTACATTCACAAATACCTTCACAGCAACATCTAGACTAGTATTTGACCAAACACCTAGGTACCTTAGCCTCACCAAGTTGACATATAAAGTTAATCATAACAATGAGGGAAAATAATGACTAATTTTGCTTGGGTGGTTAAGAAAACCCATAGAGAGGCAATATATGAGTTTTAGTCTTTAAGAAGTAGGAGGAAGTGGGGCAAGGCTTTTCTCTAAGGAAACAAAATATGCACAAAAACTTCTGTCAGAAGCAGCCACCAACCCACCAAGGCCTGACCAAGAGCGTGTGCTCCAGGAAGAGGCACTTTCTCAGTGCAGCTGAGCAGAGCAGCCCACAGGCCTGGGGAAAAGGAGGCCCGAAAGGCTGCCTGGCACACCTGTTTATGAGCTACCTAGAAGGCTGTTTTCACCAGTTAGAATTTGTTTTACAGACAACTGAAACCCATTTAAAGTATTTAAGCATTAAAATGACATGGTGGAAAAACTAAGTTCTAAAATAATGGTTCTCAAACTTGAGAACACACAAGAATAGTTTATGAAAATGCCAATTCTCAGGATGTTCACCTAAATTTTACTATTCTACAGGGCCCATTGAGGTCCATTGAACAGATTTTTTTACCAGCACCTAATGAGTCTTATGCAGATGTTTTGGAGACCATACTTTGAGAAGCAGTGTTCTAGAAAGGTAACTCTGGCAGCAGAGCATGAAATGAATGAAGGAAAGTAAGAAGGCAGGCTGGGCTCACCATCAATTGGCTTTGTCCATGGGCAGAACTTTTGCTCATATACCACGGTCGGTCATGTGGGGTGCAAGTGAGTGGCAGTATTCTCTAGAGACAGAAGGCATCATAGGCTCATAGATTTTCCTCTCCATATTTGCATGTTCTTCCATTAAAATGATAAAAACCAGTGTTTCATTTGCTTCAATGTCTTACAAAAAGCCTTGCTTTGACATTTTTACTCAGAACCTGTCCCCTCAGTCATAAGTCCTAAGAATGACAGGATGGGAAGCAAATCTGAGCAAATATTCCTATTTTCTGTATTTCTCTTTCTTTTTTTTTTTTTTTGTTTGTTCGTTTGTTGAGACAGGGTCTTGCTCTGTTGCCCAGGCTGGAGTGCAGTGGTGTGATCTCAGCTCACTGCAGCCTCAATGTCCCAGGCTCAAGTGATCCTCCTGCCTCAGCCTCCCAAGTAGCTGGGATTACAGGCACCCACCACCACACCCAGCTAATTTTTGTATTTTTAGTAGAGATGGGGTTTTGCCATGTTGCCCAGGCTGATCTTGAACTCCTGAGCTCAAGTGATCCTCCCACCTCGGCCTCCCAAAGTGCTGGGATTACAGGTTTGAGCCACTGTACCTGGCCCTGATTTTCTTTTGATAGAATGAGTTTGCTCTCAGGTTTGTTGGCTCCTGATGCAAATACATTTCTGATGGTCTTTTTTCACCATTTCTTCCAAAATGACCAGATGTTTTTGAATTCCATTGGGGAACACAGCTTAGGCTCTAATGGGAACCCCCAGCCCACATACATACCAGTAATTGTGTACAATGCATGATGAACAGATCTGTTTTCCTGTCTTCACCTATAGAGTTCCAGAGCTCATCTGGTCTAAGTACAAATCTGAAGCCTTGGACTCACCACTGGAGTTGGTCTTGCTGCCAGTGTCCCTAGGTGGAGCCCTCAGTGCATGTTTACTGACCAAGTTGAGTTTTCCCTCATCCCTATCTACCACAGTCACCCAGTTGTTGCTTGGGCCTTAGTTTGCTGATGGACACTCCAGATTTTTTTCCTTGGGACTGGAGCTCTTCCCTAAGCCACATCCTCTTACTCTGGGCCTTAATTCATGACCTAACTCTCTCTAGGTCCCTCCCCACCAGGCTGAATTCTGCTCTAAGCCAAGGGGGGTCATGAGAGTCTCCATGTTGCAACCTGCCTCACTGTATGCCTGGTACCTGGCCTGGAACTATGCCAGATTAGAACTCTTGATGTTGATGTTGGCTTGATTAAACTATTTTTGTTTATTTCATTCCTTAGGGCACTATAGTTTTTCTTTCTGATCACCCTACTCCATAGTCATATTAGTTCCCAGGCCAAGCTCTGCCTTTTCCCAGCTCCATCCCTTACAAGGCTATGAAGAAGGAGCTAATGGATCATATTTCTAAGCCCAAAGAGATGTGCCATTACACGAAGTCAAAATGCTGTTGCAGTTCACAGAAATTAAAGTTTGTTATATTTTAAGTCGACTCATGATGCAAATTCACATAAAATTTTGTTAAATGCCATAAAGAAAATCCAAACTTGTCTATTACTTTTCTGGGAGGACCCAAGTAGAGCTATCTCCACTCTCACTTCTCGTCTCTAAAACTGGACAGGATATGCTCTTCAAACGTGACTATCTTAAATTCAGGGGAGGAGAAATGAGAATTTCTCCTCAGACATCCTGAGATCATGTGCTCCAGCACAGATTTTATTAATGTTATTTTGCTTTCCATTTGGCAATTGTTTCTTGTGTGGCCAGCTCTACAGGTTAGGATGGAGACACCATCCTCTGTCCCAGAGACAGATGGAGTCAGTAATAGAATTTGGGTACCAAACCCCAACTCTTAACTCTAAGACGATATATGTGAATGTAATCTGTGAACTTCAGGACACTCTTCAAACTGTGATATCATAGTTATTTCAGACTTAACATAAACGAATTAAGAATGGTCAATATGTTGTTGACAATACAACCTACTCATTGCCTCTCTGCAAGGTTTTTGGATGTGCCTCTTAATCCTCAAAGGACAGAGAGGATCATTACTTTTGTCAGAGTCTTAGAGAGGGTTTGGACCAAGAGGACACTGTTAATAAATGCTATGAACCCTTTGTCAGGAAGCTACTATATGAATACTAAAATTCATTATTACCTTACAATGTGCACAAAAGAACACCTTCTCATTGTCACCTTAGGGGCAGGAGAAAAGTAACAATTTTATCAGCACCTGTGATTCTCTGACACAGAACTCTCTCCAGGAAAGCTGTTGCATTTTGATAGACCATCAATCTCAGCTCTTGGGCAATTGGCTTCCACCTAGCTGATGTGGAAATCAATCTTGGTTCCCAGAGGGCAGAGCAACTGTTACCAAAGGTTACAAAACAATTGCAGTTCCTTTTCTTCAGAAGCTAGTATAAAAGGACTTCTACCAGTCTTGGATAAATTTATCTCTCTGCTCTGCTCTCAGCTCCTCTCCTGGCCAATTTAGGAGAAAGAATGATGGAATCCAAAACACTGATGGTAGGAAAGTCAAACGAAAGGGCTGTCATTTTTAAAAAATATGATAACAGAGGTTAAACTGAACTTAGAAATATGGAAAATTATGCTATTTCAAGTTTCTCACATATCTGCCATGAATTCAGCCTAAGGCTAAATTCAACATATTCCCACTGTGTTACACATGCTGAATTCTGACAATAGACAATAGCATCCCAACAGGACACTTATAATCAGCTGGGTCTCCATCTCCGTATTTCCTTTATTTAGTCTAATAGATTGCCAATTTCTGTCATTTTCTTTCCTTTTCTGTCTCATCTATCTCTATTTTTCCTTTCTCCCTGGGAGAAATAAAACACAGAATTTCACCTAGATTATTGAGATAACTTTCTTAAAGAATCCCTACTTCAAGACTTTTCCTCCAATTCATTCATCAACTGATCATTGCAGGCCTGCTTTGTGCCAGGCATTTTTTTCCCACATCCTGAGAGGTGCATATTATATGTCCATTTAATGGATAATGTTGCTAAGGCCCAGAAAGGTGAATTGCATAGGACACTCAAAGTTACATACTTAACACTTGGCAGGTCAGAATTTGAATTTGGGTCTGTAGATGCCACATTTTACTGTTTGCCATTCCATTACATCATGTTCCTTCCACCTGACTTCCTTGTGGGCCTTCTCCAACAAAACGTTCACTATTTCACACCCCTCTCAAGTCTCCAATGGGTCGCCCATTACCAAATTCCTATGTCTGCCATTAATATAACCTGATGCCAAAGTCTATGTAAGTCTGATTGGGCTGCTATAACAAAATATCACATACTGGGTGGCTTAAACAACATACATTTATTTTCTCACTTTTCTGGATGCTGAGAAGTCCAAAATCAAGTTGGCAGCAGGGTTAGTGCCTGGTAAGGGTTCTCCCCTTGGGTTACAGTTACCTTTTTACTGTGTACTCACATGGCCCTCTCTCAGTGCTTACATGGAGAGAGAGAGAGAGAGAGAGAGAGAGAGAGAGAGAGAGAGAGAGAAGAGAGTGCATGAAAGAGAGCTCTCTGGTGTCTCTTCTTATAAAGACATTAAACCTATGGGATCACAGAACTGCCTTTATGACCTCATTTAAACTGAATTACTTTCTTAGTGGCCCAATCTCCAAATATAGCCACAATGGTTTTAATGCTTCAATATATAAATTTTGGGGTACATAAACATTCAGTACATAACACAAAGTATCCAAGTAACCCCGTATTTCTCTCCTCCTTCTTAGAAACTTTTCACCTGAAAAGCTGGTCTGTTATACAACTTTGCCAATCATCATGGACAGTTCATGTCTTTTGCCACTTCTGGACCATTGTTCTTATAATTTCTCCTATAATTTGGAAATGTTTTTCCAACTCCTTTCTACCTATTAAAATTATACTCATTTTTAAGCCAAACCTTATCCCACATCTTTCTAGAACTTTTAAAAATGATTTTCCTGACCCCAATGACATTTTCTTACTCTGAACTCTGGAAGCACTTACTATCTGCACAGAAGGCTGTATACAGATTACTTGGTGTCACTGTTGATTTTTCCCAAGGTGCTTCTTGCTAACAGATTCTCACTGTACATGGACACCTTGACGTTACTTGAGATAATGTGGACCAATGATCAGCTAGGCCCCACTTCCTGCATTCCTACAACCTGCTCCTTTTCTCATGACATAGATTTCACTGTGTTGCATGAGGCTCACTCATACTGAGTCTTTTAAAATTTTCTTTCTCCTTTTTCCCATGTCCAATTTTTCTTTAAATAATTATACTTTATATCCTATGTTTCAGTCTACTTGCTCCTTTTCTTCTTTTCTAAAAAGCACCATCTTAAGTTCTTTTTACCTCACTTGCATAGAGCATCTGGCATTCACTCTCTCCCTATCTTAATTTACTTCCATATACCAGCCAGTCAGTCTCCCTCCATAATTACCTATTCTATTATGCTCCTTACTGCATTGTTCAGCTCTTTTTTCAGATCCTCTGGTTTACAAGTTTGGATGTAGTATGGAAGCCTCATTCGATACCACTAGATTATAAATTCTACATGACCTTTTGCTGCTGCTGTTATCACTTGGTTCATGCTTCATAGAAACTTGTTGCTTGGTTGAACACCATTCTCATTTCACTCCTCATCTCAAAGTCTTACGGTAAACCCATTGCCCATTTTGGCATCACATTTCTACTTGCTCAGATGCATTGTTAAAACCTAAAATCAATTCTCTGTCTTCACGTCACTCAGTCATGCTTTGCTGATTGCCTTCCACATTTTCCTCTACCATAGTCTCACTGCTCCAAAAACGTGAATCTGACTAGACTCACTTACCCTTGCCTTACTTCTGACCTGAAGGATCCCACACTGTCTTCTAACCTGGGTGTTGGAATCTCTTATGTTCCAGGCAGTTGTGTGCTTGTTGTCTCCAACACAAAGACAGAAATGATTGCAAACCATAGCAAAACATGACAATGCAACATAAGCCCACAAGAGCAAAAAAGAAAAAAGAAGACAGAATTTTAATTTCTATGTATGATTCCTGATAGCTCAATTAGGAAATGTCTGAATTGAGATTTGGCTTATGAATCCAATCCTTAAACCAGGCAGAGTCACATTTGAAACAGGAGTTAGGGTTTAAAGACAACATGTAAGGTGGAAACTATGCAGAACATTTCTTAGAAAATGTTGGACTGACACATAATCCCTCCCTCAACAAGTTTGACATGGAAGTTTCTCCTGTTTTTTTTTTTAATTGGAAACTAGATGAAATAGTTGGCATGAGTTGAGGACACATGTTGTACCAAAAAAAAATGTGACTTTAAATAACAAGCATCATTCAGCTCAGGAAAATGTTCACATTATGAAAGTCACATAAGATACGACACAGGCCTTGAGAAGAGCAGATTCACATTCATTTTAAAGTATAAATTCATTGTCAGAAATGGCAAGCTCTTTCTACTTTTCATACTGCACAGAGACTTGGCTGCTACTTTTTCCAGTGCACAGAATAGCTTACGTAGCAGGTACTCAATAAGCACATGATTAAGTTTAATAGTGTCGCCCTTGCAGTTCAGAAATCAGACCCTCACAGGTGTCTCCCTCTTTTCCCCATTTCTCCACCTTTGCTCCATCAGGCACTTGAGTGCATCAGGGACCTCCCATTGCCACCGCTTGTACAGCATGGCAGAGCACTCAGGGCCAAGCCCACAGGAGTATTTCCTGTGTGGTCTGGCGTGATAGGAATATTTGCACAAATTTTCTTCATTTACAGCTAGAAAAAAGAACTGAAGGCTCCCCCAATTAGCCTCCATAAAAAAGTGCTAGTTAAGGAGACAGTAGTTTATGGAAATGTTGCCTGTAATAAAACTCTTTAATAATTTCACTATTTTGTAGGTCTTAGAGAAAGCACATTACCCTCACATGAGCAATGAAAGCCCATGAAATCTTTCAATTTCCTAACTCTGAAATCTTTTCAATTTCCTAATTCATGTAGTGATCATCCCCTTAAATTTTCATTAAGGTAGAAAGAAATGTATAGTCTTGTCATATCTATATAAGTTGTCTTGAATTTATAAATGGGGATTTCCCAAAAATTTACCTGTAAGTCCCTTCTTTGGAATTTGGAACTATTTCCCCATAGAAACGATGTAAACCATGGTATTCAAGTCTCGGGCCAGCCCACAACGGCCTTTCCAACCTGTGGTGTAGGTGAATTGGACAGATAAAATCCCTAAGCCTTGAATAGCACAAGACCTAGCCTCAGCTCTATGGGACAAAGACATGGGACCCAGGCCCTGAACTTCTGCTCCTATTCCATGAATCTTGAGAAGGATAAGATCAGAGACTGGAGGGTCCCTCAGTTAGAGCTCAAGGCAGAAGAGAAAAAGGCTCAAAAAGAAGCTGGAGACTCAAGAAGCATCTGGGGAGGATCTGGTATAATGTAAATGAAGTCTGTCGCATCAGGTGCTTAGAATTGCACAAAATCTCCCATCTTTGCTCTCTTCCTATCTTTCTATGTTGTTTTCTTCTCTTGAAAGAATAGGGGCTTTGAAACATTCCCTTTCCTACTGGGTGAACTTAGCTCCTTTTTGGATGCTTATGCTCTTTCATATATCATATGGAGATAATATCCAACTTGCAAGTGGTAGATATTAAATACAATTTAGTTGGTACATAGTAATATTGTAATACATAGTAATATTGTAGTACATAATAACTAATGTTATTATTACAATGCTGCTTTACCTAATAAATTGTAGAAGAATTTGAAGACCAGGCAGTTTTTACAGGCAGGCAGCCTCACTATTGTAATATTTTTCAATGTTTAATGTATTAGGTACTAAACCAAAGTACAGGCAGCCCCAGAGAGGAAAGAACAAAAATAATCACTTGGAATGCAAATATGCATGTTGCAGCACCCTAGCTGAAGACAACTCTGCTGATTTTGCTAATGTTGGGCAGTCTCTTCAAATGAAATATACTGCCCTAGTCAAAGGATAGGCTTGAGCTGCTCCTCCGTTAGGTTCCTGGGTTGACCAGAATTCTTCATCCTCATGAAGTGGGCCCTGTCTCTAAGATCATATGTGAGATGAAGGTAGTGAACCCGTAACCTTGTCTCATTCATCCTTAACATGATCTCACCTTCTCCCATTGGCTGCTGGAGATGCTGACCAGGCCAGTCTTCTACATGGTAAATCTAGCCTCATGGAATTTTCAACTTAGCCTCTTTGTTTTATAGGCTTACAAAAACTCTCATATAAATAAAATCCTTTGTTTCTTATTGTCCTATGCCAGTAAGTCCTTGAAGCTACAACTATTTATTGTCTTGCACTATGCCTGCTGTTCAGAGTTCTTTTTCAGTCTGGATTCCCTAGTTCTCTGTCAACCTGGCCATTTCCACTAACCTCAGAGGTGAGGGCCATTGCAAAAACAGTAAGAGGCTTAGGAATTTAATCAGTAAAACTGAAGCAGCTGCTGGTGAATATCTTTCTAAGCTTTTACTGTTGATGACTGAAAACGCCATGTAGCACATGGATGACAGAGAGATGACAGGTCCAAGTCATAAGGTAGTGTATAGAAGCAGACAGCCTACTGCCCAGGGGGAAGGGCTTTGGGTTTCTCATTAGGAAAACTAAGGTCTAACTTAGCCACTACTTAAGATGTGACCTCTAGCAAGTACTTAATCTCATTGTACTTCAATTTCATTACCTGAAATAGATATCATAATACCTGCTCCAACTATCTGTATTGTTTTCTAGATCAAATTAGATAATAGGTAACATATTTTGAAAACATACAGTATATTACACTAAGCATATGCAAGGAATTATATTGTCAATCATGACCATTATTATAAAACTATTCCATAGCCTGTTAGCTTGCTCTGAAGACAAATGCCATGTTGACCTCTTCAGTATGCCAGCTATATTCCCAAAGGATACACTGACCTTTTTGATACAGTTTTCTGTTTTTTGGTCTATTGCATTCTCTGTTTATTGGCCTGTGTCCTGCCTTGCCAGCAGTAATCAGCTTTCAGCTTTGTTTATAAACTCCTAATTGCAGTTATTTTTCTTTTACTAGATATTGGCATCAATTAATAAATGTTCATTGAGCATCTGCTATATGAATTAGACAGTTTACTGGTTCCTAAAAATGCAAAGATGACTAAGGCACAGTCCCTAAACATAAGGAATTTATAACTGATCTCAGGATTTCACAGTAAGGGAAGAAAGAATAGGAGATACACAGGGATATTCTCAAGGGCTATGTTTGGGGATAGCTTTCATCCCTTCCATTTACACTCTATTGGACAGAAGACAGTACACAACCCTAACATAGCAATAAAGGAAGGTAGAAACTATACTCTTCTTGTGTGTCCAGAAAAAAAAAATGATAAAACAGAATGTGCTGACCATTTAGCATCGCTTCTGTCATATGATCCAATACAAGATTGATTTTGGTATATACATGGCATTAAGGGAGCAGAGACAATGCAGTCATTACATTGCTGAAAGGTTGGGGAAATTGATGTTACAGCGGAGACTTGGAAGATGATTGTGCTTTGCCAACGACTGAAGTAGAAGAAGGGCACTTCAGAAGAAGAGTGTGGAACAATTGCTGAGGCATCAAGAAGCTCATGCTGTTTGCAAGAACTGATTTATTAAGTTGAATTCTATAGCTTCATGGAATATGATAAAATACAAAACTGAAAAGCTAGATTGGGAGTACATTTCTAAGGTCCTTGAATGCCAGGTTAGAATTTAAATTTATTTTGCCATGTGGTAGGAAGCTATTAAAGATTTTAAACACGGAACTTTGGTGTGATTTGAAGAGAAAAATCCTCTGATGGCAGAGTACGGAGGAAATTGTAGAGTGAGAGACTAATTAGGAGATGAACTATGTCAATGGTTTTCAAACAGAGCTGCATGCCAGAATTTCCTGAGGAACTTCACAAATACAGATATATAGGCCCTTCACTGAACTAATTCAATCAGAATTTCTGGGACAAATACTGTGTTTTTCAAAATGACTTAGGTGATTCTCATGTAGAACCAGTGTTGAGAGTCACTGATCTATACCAACAAAATTATAAAGGCTTCAAGAGCAGTTCTGTGTACTCGACATATTAACTTCTGTATTTGGCAAATAGTAAGAGACCACGATACTTTAATTCATTGACTGATGCATACTCCTGGTCACGAGTAAGGTTTTCCCAGTGCAGGTCTGTGTTAAACCTTGTTCGGGCTTTGTTCATAGGAATAAATTACTTTGGGTAGCAGTTTACACTGGTTGGGGGAAGCAAATGACTATGTCCAGACCTCGTGCTTGTCATTGTCAAATAATGTTTGTGTGTGTATGATTAGATGAGAGCAAGCATAGGATTCATCAACAATTATTGAAACACCTTCTAAAGTCTCATCTGTTTTAAAATATCTACTTCAACAACATAAAAAGGACTCATTAGTCTACCTCCAAATCTTTCTGATATTCATCAACTTCTTCAACCCCTCCCCCTCGATGAATTTCATGGGGCTGTTATTCACATCCCTTACCACTTCCTAAAGTTCTTGGATCTCCAGCCCTCCTGGTCACTATCTTCCTTTTTCTGGTAGCAGAACTGCTCCCCTCCTCCAGAGTGCTCCTGATCAAGAAGAGTGGGTATGCATCTTCCCTTTAAGAATGGGATCCTCTTGGCGTGGAGCTCTCTCTGGAAATCCCTTAGGCAGATGGGGTCTGGATGTTCTGGAAGTGTTCTTTATCACCTTGGATACCCACTAATATCTTAAACTTGTCTCCTTGAATGGCTCTTGCTACCCTCTCCTACTGGCTGTTCCATCACAGCCCCAGGGCTCACTTACATTTCAAAATAGTTCCCAATATTCACATTTACCATCTGGTCCTAGAAGGTCTCTCCTCAACAAATAGACCCATTTGCAATTAGACTGCAGTCTTATGCTCTCAAAAGCAGTGTCTCCAAGGAGTTCTCAGGGAGAGCTGCAGTACCATACAGCTTTAAAATAATGAAATTCTCCTAAGCCTCCATAATTTCTTTAGAAAATCAAGCCTACATTATGCCACATGTTATAACACTCTAGACTGGCCCCTCATCACCAGGATGCTGTGCCCTGGTATGGTAGTAGAGAGTCCTTCACCTCTTTAGCATCTGTGGTCAGATGCAGCAAAGTACCACATTCCTTTTCACCTGCTCCCCACAGGTTGCAAGAAATATGTACACATTGGCTGCCTGGAACACAAATAGGCATCTCAAAGCTTCCTACAGTTAATACACAAATTAAAATTTTATAATGACCCTGGCTACAGTTATATTTCTCTATTATCACTTGAACCTGCCTTTTTTCCAAAGCAGTTGTATATTTTAGGTTTTGTACTATATTTACAAAGTATGGGGACTTAAGGAAATATGCCCTAAATAAAGCACTATCCGAAAATTTCTTACCTACATTTCTATCCATGATGCTCAGAGAACAGTATTCAGTTTATGAAAACAACAATCTCCTTATGAAAGATAGCACCAGATGCTGCTTAGGCTGCAGAATTTGCAGCTGTGTGTTAGTGTTCACTAGCTCGTGACTGGTTTGTCACTTCTCTATGGCTTTCCCCTCTCCTGGGAGTGTGAGAAGTGGGAGAGCATTGCAGCTGTTTTATCTCCAGCGCTCTGTGGAAGGAACTCAATGACTGCTGCTGCATTCAGAGGTTGCATATCAGCTGCACCGCTGAGCAGCTGGAAATGAAGCTGATGAAAATTTTGGCTATGGTTATTCTACACGTTACGGGTCTTCAAGACCTGAGTCTTTTCAGAAAACATGAGTGGAATACAAATAGTTGACATCACACATACACCTCTTGCAATCTTTCAACACTGCTTTCAAAGCAAAAAAATTCCACTTCACAGGAATATGAAGCTGCCAAGTGTGAAGCCTGGTGTTCTCATTTGCATATCAATCCCAGAATGCTTTTCCAGCCTCAGCCTTTCTGAGCTTGAAGTTTTAGGCAGAATAAAAGAAAAGGCTCAGGTGTCCCTGTACTTTTCGAGTTTTGTGTAAATTGTATCTATGATAGACAAACAAGAGAAGTAGGGATTTTTCCCTTTGTCCCAAGCTTAGAGTGACTTCAAATGAAAAATGAGAGTTTGGAACAAGTAGAAATAGCATCATATTCACTCATCACCATTTGAAGTAACATTTCAGTGGTTGGATTCTAGTTACCTCCAATCTGTTTTTATCTCTCATTTCAGTTGCATACATTATAGATTCAGAGATATTGAGAACTGGAAAGGTCTCTACAGATAATCTAATTTAAAGTGTTCCCCTGTCAATGGGTCACCATCATCTGTGTAATCCTAAGCCAGTTACTGCCACCAGCTCTGCTCTCCAATGAGTATACTGTTAATATTTACCTCCAAAGACAGCTGGAGTGACAGTACAATCAGCAGGGGCTACATCTCACTGACAATGGTCATTGCTCAGTGACCAGGGAGTATTTTTGACCATTCCACCACAACCACCTGCTTCATGAATGTATAGCTTTAGAGCCATGCAATGTCTACATCTTCAAAAAAAATGAAAAGTACAATTTTCTTGATCTTGACTGTTACTTTGAAGGGAAGAAAACTGAGGCCAGAATGAGTAAGGTTTTCTCAAGGTTTTGTGGAAAGTTGGAAGCAGGGTCAAGATGTAAACCTAGGTCTCTGACTCTTAGTTAAGAGTTATTCTGCACTCCACACAAGGTGTGCCAGTCACTGCCTCAGGCCTTGAGACACAGCATTGACCAAGAAAAAATTGAGACTTCTACCTTCAGAGAGCTTATACTCCAGCAGCAAATAAAGACATTAGTTACAAGCAGTCACGATCAGTGGTGAATCACATTATCATAGTTGAAATAAGTTGTGCCTTTTTGTCCTCCAACTTCCAGGTAGGAAAGAAAAAATTCCCCTGCGTTTATTCTTCTTATGGACATCTAGATAAAGTGTCCAGTTAGTGAAATACAATCCTAGTGACTCAAGTGCCAAGACAGACAAGGATTTTTAGGGCATTTAATTGATTGCTTAATTAATGCAGTTGCTTAGGAACCTATTATTTGTCACACACTGTATTAGGCATCAGGAATTCAAAGATAAGAAAGATAAGATCTCTACCTTAGAAGGAACAGAGCACAGTGAGTCACATAAGTGAATGGATACTAAGGATGCCATGTCATGAATGCTGTAGGAAGTAAAGGTTTTTAGAGAATGCTATGACAGCACAAATGAAAGATCAATCCAGAAGGTGAGGGCAGAGAGGACAAAGAAGACTTTGTGAGTTAGTGACATTCAGCTGGACATTGGAAGACATGAAATGGAGTATTGTGTGTGAGCCAGACTACACATCAGAACAAGAGCACAAACTGTGGCTGCATGAACATCATTCATGACTCTCAGTTTTGGTCTGCATTCTACTGTATTAAATCTAATTCTACATATTCCCCAAGCAAGCAACAGATACCAGAGGAATGACCTCTTCTCAAAGACCTACGCCATAGTCTAGCACAGTAGTTAGAGGAGTACACCCTGAAACCAGACATCCTGGGTTTCTAGCTTTGAGTTTTTTTAGTTTTGTGACTTAAAATTTTTGTTTCCTATTTTCCTCATCTTTAAAATGGGCACAGTAAAATAATAAGGTTTGTATTAAGGTTAAATGAATTGATGATATGAAGTACTTAGCTCCTAGCACATACTCAATACATGTTAGCTTTTATTGCTTGGAACCATGGTGAGAATTACTAGTCTTGAATGCTTTTGGCTCCTGTTCACAGAGGTATGTACTGCAATGTCTTCTTTCAGGTGCCTTAAACGAAAAAGCACTATTGTGGAGATCTTGGGGCTGTCAATCTATACTGTTGGGGAAATGGGATAAATTTTCCTTGTTTCTTAAAAACTGCATGCCTCTAGTTCCCTGGGATGGGGCCAGCAGGGATAGGAATGTGTTTTTCCTTTTCCACATTTCTAGTTGTGTTCACTGTTTTTACCAACATCTATTTACTCTGACTAAGATTTGTGGGCAGGTTGGAAAAGTCATCAGAGGGAAATCTGGTAAATGACAGGTGTCATATAGTACTTGTTAGCCCTGCTCAGTTTAAAGGCAGCATTGAGGCTCTCCTACATCCTTTCTTCCATCCCAACCCCTCCAAAATAAGTTTTTGTTTTGTTTAGTCTGTAGTATTCTTCTCACACATTTTACCATCTTCAGTCTATAGAAAGTAAGATGATTTCTTTCAGTCTATGAGAGCCCTGGATTCCTATTTGGCCACATAAACAGAAGTGTTGCTGTCCAAAGCCTGACTTGGGGCATGTCTTAGTCAGTTTTGGCTACTATAACAGAATACCATCAATTGGGTGACTTAAACAGGAAACATTTATTTCTCATGGTTCTGGAGACTGGGAAGTCCATGATGAATGTGCTAGTTGATTTGGTGTCTAGTGAGGGCTCTTGTCCTAGTTGGTAGAAGGATGCTTCTTTGCTGTGTCCTCACATGGCAGAGGGGGAGAGATCATCTTTCTCATGTCTCTTATAAGGTGTCATGGACTGAATGACTGTGTCTCCCCCAAATTCATATGTTGAAGCCCAATACTCAATGTGATGGTATTAGGAGGTGGGGCCTTTTGGAGGTAATTAGGTCACGAGGGTGGGGCTCTCATAAATGGGATTAGTGCCCTTATAAGGAGAGACAAGGAAGAGATAATCTCTATTTTTGCCATGTGAGGAAACAGCAAGAAGGCATTTATCTGTAAATCAGAAAGAAGCCTCCTACCAGGAACTAAATTGGTACCTTAATCTTGGACTTTCCAGCTTCCAGAACTAGAATTGTGAGAAATAAATTTCTTTTAAGTCACCCAGTCTATGGTACTATTATTATAGCAAATCAAAATGACTAAGACATAAGGGCATGTATCCCATTCATGAGGGCTCCATAATCATGACCTAATCACCTCTCAAAGGGCCCACTTTCAAATATGATCACACTGGGGATTAGAACTTTAACATGTGAAATTTGGAGGAACACAAACAGTCATCACAGGGCAGTTTTCCCGGACTGGCCTCTTCTACCTGGGAACCATACTCCTCACTCAGTTCCCTGTTTCATTCCCTTTCCTCAGAGCTCCTACTATTCTCCCTTCCATACTGTCCTCAATATTACCATCCAATATATACACCCAAGATTTCAACTGACCAAAAACATACATGTTATTAAATTATATTGACAATACCTACCTTACATAACATAATTTACATTCAATGAAGCTACATTTTACTTAATCATCAATTTTTGTTTCTCGTAAGCCCATTTTTAACAGAAGTAATACAAACACACTTTTTACCAACAATAGTTTCCAGACATGACAACTAGACCCCTGACAATACAACCTTGATAAGTTGCCAACTCCCCCACACCCTTGGTCTCTAGCCATTGTCTCTTCTCAGACAAACTTTAACACAACCATTAGCCTTGCTACAAATTAAATGCTTGGTCCTGGTCATTTGTGGAATTATTCCAAATAAATATATAATGTCAACGATTGAATTTTTACTCTTTCATAAGCATTTTAAGCTATCTTCATTAAAGAAAGATTGGTTGACTATGAAAATACTGACAGCTTAACACATCTGCATTTCATCAGTAATACAGAGACACAATATTCCTAAGAATATATTCTATCTGGAGAGATAACCTTGCTTTGTGCTTTAGCAAAAGGTGACTTGCTTCTTTTCCTTGAAATGGTGAGTGCTATCTCACAGAAAAATTGCAACTGTTCATACAAGATGAGTTTTGAAGAGGGAGCTTCTTTGAAATGGTGATGAATCACATAGCAGGTAGGAAAAATGATTAAAGGACTCAAAATAATTTTGAAACTCCTTAAACCTAGTAGTTCTCATAAGATGTTTGACACCACGTTTTGTTGGACAAATAAACAACTTCAGCATTCAATGTTGTTCTTCCATTTTTTAAAGATGACTTCGAACCTTTACCTTACTAACTTTTCCAAGTAGAGGATGAGACCCACTGTTGGCCTGTGAAGCCAGAGATCACACACACATGCAGACACACACACACACACACACACACATGCAAAGGGATATGGATACGTTTAAAAGAAAACCAGATGATGAACTCTAGCACATAAGCCACTGGATTCCTGAGGCTTGATTTCTCCTACTCATCTTATTCTTATGTCTTGAGAGTTCCATTTTCTGACTTTCAGATCTATTGCTTCATGAAGTCCCTGGCACAGGATTTTTCAGAAGCTCTCTGACTTTTGTGCCTCCCAGTTCTGACATAAAATTACAATCAAGGTACATGTTTAGGCAATGGATTCACCTTATGAATTTTAAGACACGTCTGGAGAACAAAGATGTACAATAGCCACATGTCGAGGGTATGTACTGAGGAAGGGAACTGCACACAGGACCAGAACATGCACCCCCTGTGCCTCTGGGCCCACTCTGGGTTTTACTTCTTGTCTAACATTAGACTAGTTGATTCATGCCTTCATTGTAGGTGATTTTGTTCAATAAGAGGAAAACATTCAGTGTCCTTCACTTCCAAGACCAGTTCCACCACAAAACAACTAGTGAGAACTTAACTTCTGAAAGTTGTTAAATATTGCAATGGGGTTGTCATTTATTGAGATGTGGTTAATTACATATACTTAGGTAGAGTCAGGAATTTTTTGATGAGTTTATAAACTTCATAAAGTATGGTTAGTTAACAGTTTGTTTTTATTTAATTCTCCCAATAAAAGTCCTTGCAACATGAAAAGGAAAAAAAAAGGCAGGAATTGTGTCACAAAATTTATGGATTTAGTCAAATTGAATCCTGAAGGCAATATATCTATATTAATATTTGACAGCACATTACTGAGAATTTCCAAAGTCTAAGGATATGAGCTGGGTTTATCCACCCCTCTTTAATTTTTACGACTCCTATGTCATTACTAGCTCACTGAAATATTAATTAATCAGAGACCAATATATTGTTATGGTTCATTGAATTTTCCAGTTAATTGCGGGTTAACTAGAAAATGGTTTGTGTTTCAAACTTTATTGAAATTCTTACTACAATGCCCGATTTTATGACATAATACAGAACCCTTTATTCATTATTCAACAAATAGTGGTTGAGGGCTTGCTGTCCTGTGAATCAGTACTGAACACTAGAGACACAGACCCAAGAGACTTGGCCACCCAGGAGTCAGGAAGGATGACTCACCATTGCAATGAGTGGGCCACAGAGTCTGGGCTATGTGACCTGCAGTTTATGCAAGGGCATCCCAGAGGAGAGGCGTCCACACGGCCCGAAAACTAAGGGAGGGTGAGACCCGCAGGAATGAAGGACCTTCCAGAGATAGGAAAATGCCATGTGTGAGGCATAATTGTATTCAGGGACCTATGAATAATTCAGCATGCATGGAGTATGGTAAGAATGGGAAATAGTGAAAGGTGAGAGTGGAAGGTTATGCTAAAGACCATGGACAAGGATCCTTGTCTTGTAAGCAAGGAAATAATATAATACATTGTGTATCTCAGAAAGGTCTCTTAGGCAGGCTTGTAGGGGGCTGATTAGGAAGGGAGAGGGGAAAAGCTAAAAGCAGGGAGATGAATTGGAAGAATGTGGTGGCAATTTGGGTAAATGTTATGAGGCTCTGTACTGGCTAGTGATAGAAAGGAAAGGTAAGATAGGAAAATACCTCTTTTAGATCAGTGATTTTCAGTGTGATCCCATGAACAGTAACATTAGCATCACCTGTGAACTTGTGAGACCTGCAAATTGGAGACCTACTGAATCAGATCTCCAGGGCTGGAGCCAAACACACTGATTTAACAAGCCTTCCAGGTGATTCTTATTCTAAAGTTTGTGAGCCACTGCAATACATTGATTTATAAGATTTTCTAACTCATTTGATGTTAGGAGAAGAACAGGATGAAGGACGCCACGTAGATGTCTTTAGTATCTGGTTAAATGTTTAGCAAATTGTACCATGGATGACTCAGGGTCTCAGAGTCATTGTTTGACACATTACTTAGGATTTTTATGGGAACAGGGATAATTTACAGATATATATATACATCCTACTATTGCTTCTCAAATGAACCCCAACAGCTTTTGTCTGCAGTATTGTACTAATGACCTCTCCATGCTGAATCCAACAGTTATTTCTAAATGGCCAAATGTGCTTTTTAAAAATGTCTATTTATTTTCAGGACTTCTATATCAGTGACACAGATAGCTCAGTCAAATTAAGATAGTTCAAGGAGAGTCTATTTACAAAGAGACAACTTACCAAGGCGCAAGTGTGGCGTAGAGGAAGAACAGGTGATAGGGCAGGAATTTGGGGCCATCAGGAATAGAACTTTCACCACCTTTGAAAAGATGAGGGCAGGAAAAAAATTCCTCTGAAATTCCAGAGGAAACAGAGTCATACACTGCAGGACAACTGGGGAGGAGCAGTGGCTTTCTGGTCACAACCAGGCTGAGGCAATTGTACAGGGAAGGAATCGTGAATACATTCCCTAACCTAATAGTTCTCAAAATGTTGCCTCCAGACCAGCAACATCACCTGAGACCTTGTTAGAAATGCAAATCCACAAGTCTTATCCAATAATTAGATAAGAATCAGAAACTGGGGGTGGGGCTTAGTACTTTAACAACCCTTGCAGGTGATTTTAAAGAGCCACTGATTTAATCTCATTCCTTTCTTTCTAATCTTCTATTGGGGCTCCTTCCCACTGGCCAAACCCAAGCAGACAATGGACGGAATGGAAATCAGTTTCATTAAGATCAGCCTTCTTGGAGACAGCCAGGTGGAAAACGCTGAAGAAAGCACCTGGCCAGGCAAATGCATGACACTTTAGCACAACCTCACATAAATCAGTTTTCTGCAACCTCACTGGCTGCTCCTGCTGGTTTCTTGCTATTCTCCGACCTTCTTTTTTTTTTTTGAGACGGAGTCTCGCTCTGTCGCTGGGCTGGAGTGCAGTGGCGCCATCTCGGCTCACTGCAGCCTCCGCCTCCTAGGTTCAAGGTCTCTGACCTCTTAATGAAAGATGCCCCAGGGCTCAATCTTTGAGCCTCTTTTCTGTCTACTCTCACTCCCTTTGTGATTTCCTCCAATCGCTTGGCTTTAAATGCAATCTCTTATATACCAACAAACTTTCAAATCACATCTCCATACCCTGGACTGGTAAATCCAACTGTTGACTTGACTTTTCTACACACATGGTTAATAGGCACCTCTAACTTACCACGTCCAAAATTAAGCTCCAGATCTCCCCCTATAGCCAAACCTTGTCCTGCCACAATAGTCTCCATTTTAATTAAAGGCAACTCTATCAAACTTCTCTCAACCCCAAAACCTTAGAGTCATCTTTGATTCCATCCTGTCTCTCCCATCCTGCCTATCCGTAAACAAAATTTGGCAGTTCTATTTTTAAAAATATGTCTAGGATTTGGTCACTTGTTACCTTCCCTGCTGCTACTACAGTGTTCCCAGCCACTATCATCTCTTGACAGCATTACTGTTGCAATAACCACCTTCCAGTTTGTCTCCTAGCCTCTGCCCCTACCCACTTCAGTCTATTCTCAACATAGCCAAAGTCGTTTACATATGAGACAAATCATGTCATTCCTTACCTCAAAATCATATGGAGATTTCATGTATCAGTCAAACAACATTATGCTGCAGTATCAAAAATAGAAACAACGTTAGCTAACACCACAGATTTTTTCTTTCTTTCTCAGGCAATATGTTTAGTGTGGGTAATGAAGGGCTCTGCTAAACACAGTCACTCAGCGAACTAGGGTAGTAGAGGCTCTGCCTTGACATGTACTTCCATCCTCTCTGTAATAGGGAGAAGGGGACTAGGCAATATGCAGTGACTCTTAAAGATTTTACTCCCACCCAGACTTGACACATCTCACTTCCACTCTCATTTTAATGGCTAAAGTGAGGTACCGTGCTGTGCAACAAACCACCACAAAATATCAGTGCATGCAACAATAAGCATTTGTTTGTCATGCCTCTCCAGGCTGGCTGGGGGTCAAGTGATTTAGACTGGGCTAGACTAGGTGGTCTGCTTGAAGCTGCATGTCCTCTGGGGCAGCTCTGCTCACCATGTTTCTCATCTTTCTCCTAGATTCAACAAGCTAGCCAAGACATGTTTTTTTGGGGGTGGTGGCAGAAATTCAAGAGAGAAAGCCCCACTGGGCAAGCATATCTCAAACCCTTGCATGCATCATGTGTACTTATATCCTGTTGTCCAAAGCAAGCCCCATGGCCAAAACTACAACCAAGAGTCAGAGAACTATATTCTGTCTATAGTGAGGCCAGGCAAGGGTGTGAAAGCAAAGAAAGGGTGGAAGAATTGGAGCACTAACCCAGTCTCTCACACATAGTCACACCTAACTTTAAGGGTGCAGGAAAATATAATCCTCTATATGCATGGAAGGACAACTGAAAATATTTGTTGACCACCCCTTGAAATCTTTTGTGGTGAAAAATCAAAGTCCTTACAATGGCCTAAAAGTTTCAATAAAATATGTCTCCCATTAACTGCCTAACTTTATCTCCTACCATTCAATCTAGCTCACATCATTCCAGCCCTTTACCAAGCAAGCTTCTACCTCAGGGCTTTTGCACTTACTGCTCCCTCTGCTTGGAACACTCTCTCTTTTTTTAAATAAAGATATTTGCATGACTTTCACCTTATGTCTTTTGGGGCTTTTATTTTAGATGACCACCTTACAAAAATTGAATTATCCTCCTCTACTGATCCCCTTTCCCTGCTTTTATTTATCCATATCCTAAAAATATTTCCTTCTCACATACTATAGACATTTTACTTACTTGTATGCCTTCTGTCACTATAAGCTACACAAAGACTGGAATTCTGTTGTGTTTTGTTCACTATCCACAGCACCTATAATTGTGCCTGGCACATAGAGGAGTAGGCATTTAGTAACATTTTCGTTGAATAAATGAATACCCTGAAAATTGGTATTTTTCTCATCGGAAACAGTTATTGCCTTTATATTTTGAAAGTTGATTCTGATGCCTTCTAAATCCAATTCAGCCTATTCGGACTGGCTGGTCCCTCCACATTAACCTAGAACTTCTCATTTGGCAAAGGCACCTTTCTGGAATGAATGAGGAGATCTCAGAAAAAGACAGAATTTTATTGCTTTCACCATCCTCTAAAGTCAGTGGTTCTCACATAGGTACGAATTTTTCTCCCCAGGGGATATTTGGCAATGTAGGGAGACATTTTTTGATTGTCACTAATGAGGGGGAAAGAGTGCTACTGGCATCTAGTAAGTGAAGGCCAAGGATGCTGCTAAACATCCTGTAATGCACAGGACAGCCCCACAACAAAGACTTTTCCAGTCCAAAATGTCAACAGCTCTGAGCTTGAGAAATCTGTTCTAAGGGGAGTGCAGAGGTTCTGGTCTTGGCGGCTCTGAAAGTTGTTTCAGATAAATGTTTTATTACTATCAGTGTTACACTATAAGTACTACACAGGCAAGAAGTGAGATGGGTTTATTCATTGGTGTGTGCTGAGCACCTTGTACAGTGCCTGAAACATAATGGGGTCTCAAAAATAATTGTTGAATGCATTAATGAACAGAGATGTCCTATTAAAACACTAAATATTATGTTGCATTATGCTGATTATTAAGCCTTGCTTCACTTCCTTTACTCTATTTTAAGATCTGATTTAGACCTATAATAGTCACGGCCCTGTGGCTTTCAGTCTGTTTTTAATTTCTACGAGAACAGAGAGGAAAATCATATGAGTCTCAGTCTTGTGCAAAGGCTCATATATTCCACTAAAATGTCTGCAGGAGAAAAAAATGTTTCCTCCTATGGATAAAACAGGAAATGAGTTTGGTTCTTGTAGAAACTAATGTGGTGAACTTGAGGTATTGGAATTTAGAGAATTATTTTTAGTTTGTTTTTGAATCCATTTTGGGGTAAATAGTTGACCAAAATATTTCCTTTTTTTGTTTGTTTCTTCTTCTTTTTTTTTTTTAACTAATATACTTGCTGATTTCGTCTGGACTTTTTTTCATTGCAGGCTTTGGATGAGTGCAAGCTGTATTTCTCAGCAAAGCTAATTTGTTTACCGTTCCTTGTCAGGGTTTTCTGTAACTGTCAAGTGTCTTCATTTAGCCATGTTTGTACATGTGTGTATATAGGGACAGGCAAATTGTAACATAAGCCTTCAGTTTTTATTTATGTAATGAACAAGATTATATTTAGTGTTCAGATAAGGTTTAAATGGGGGTTTCAGTTAATACCCAAAGTTATTTATTCCTATGTGTCAAGGGCAATCTTTCCCAGGAGACCCAGAAATTAACTCTTTTTTTTTTTCTTTAAGAAAAAACCCAACCCTAGAACCTAGGATTTAGTAAAACACAGTGAAAGTCTGAAGAAAACTATGGATTCTCCTGTTCCTCAACTCTTTTCCTATCACTGTCTTCCCAATTAGCAAAAGACTCCAACAATCAATCACCTAGGAGTCTGGCCCAGATCCATGGAGACGTTCCTGATTCCTCTCTTTCCCTCACACTCCACATTTAAAGCTTTGCTTTTCAAATATGTTCTGAAACTACCTGCTTCTCACTTCCTCCACTGCTGACTCTCAGATGAACCCTGCTCTCCCTCCTGAGCCTATAAATGGTGTCTCAGCTTTTACTCTTGCTCTCCTGCAGGCCATTCTCTACACCAGGGATCTTGTACCAACTTGTCATATGACTTATTTTCCCTGCTCAAAACTCTCTAAGGACTTACTGACACATTTAGAATCCAAACTCCTTACCATGACTGCTAAGATCCCATATGAACTGGCACTGCCTAATTCTTTCACTTTTTGTCTTTCACTGAGTTCCTTGCCCCTTCCACCCTAGCCGTCTTGCTGTTCCTCACACTATCCGAAGCTTGTTTCGAATTCGGGGCCTTTGCACTTGCTGTTCCTTTTGCCTGGAGTGCTCTTCTTCAAGATATTTCTGCCTATAGTTTCCTCACTTCCTTTAGGTCTCAGCAAAAATGTTGCCTCCTCAGAGAGGCCTTCTGTCACCTATTACCATAGCATGGTCTAGATGCTCTCAGGAGACCCCAAAACCTGTGAAACTAACTTGTGCTTGCAGCTGTGCTTGCTTACAGATAAGAAAGCAGAATGCCAGAAACTGCGAGTTAGCCACAAGACCAACTAAGTGCAGAAGTGCTGCCTTGACTTGAACTCTTGCATAGGTGCACTGAACTCATTTCTTGCTTCATTACCATACTAAAATCTCCACCCAGCAGGGAGAAATGTACCTTGTTAGGCACAAAAGGTGCTGGGTGCAAACAAAAAGACATGACTGCACACACTCTTTTCCCTCCTGGAAGAGCCCACGTTTTTCCAGGAATCCCTGCCCCAGTCTCCACCTACCTGTCCTGGGAGCCCTTTAAATCTCCCTCTACTTGACTTCCAGGGAGATGGTGCTTTGAGCACGAGCTCCCCTCCCCTTCATCATTCTTTGATCACGAGTAAAGTTTCTGTTCTGCTTTACTTAACCTGGTCTGGTTCTATTGGCACAAATGACACTGGGCAGGGAAAGAACCCATTAGGATCCAATAACCTCCTGGGAGGGTCAGTAACACTTCCTTTGCTCTTCTAACTTGCTTTGTTTCTCTTACCGCCCTTATCATTATATGAAATTATATATGTGTTTATTTCCTGTGTCTATCTTGATGCAAATTTTATGAAGGCAAAAACATCGTGCTGTTCATTATCTTGTTCTTTGTCCCTAGTGCCTAGAATTATGCTTACAACGTAGTAGATGCCCAATTTCTGTCAATTAAATGAATAAAGCTTGACCAGAATGTTCAATGATGACCTCAGGGTCCATGCTTGGAACTGCCCTGTAGATGAGAAGGCTTCTTAGAGCAAATTCTTTAGTTCTGCCTCCTATGCAATGGCTTACACAGATGGTATTATAATATGATTAAGGATGTGGGTTACAGAGGAGTTATCTGGAGTTTACTACCTATTGACTTACTTTGGAGAAATCTCTGTCTTCATTTTTTTATACTTATGAAGCACAATAAATATCATTACATTGTTTCTAATAAAAAGCTTTACTATCCCAGCACTTTGGGAGGCTGAGGCAGGCAGATCACGAGGTCAGGAGATCAAGACCTTCCTGGCTAACATGGTGAAACCCCATCTCTACTAAAAATACAAAAAATTAGCTGGGCATGGTGGCCTGCACCTGTAGTCCCAGCTACTTGGGAGGCTGAGGCAGGAGAATGGCGTGAACCCGCAAGGTGGAGCTTGCAGTGAGCCAAGATCGCACAACTGAACTCCAGCCTGGGCGACAGAGTGAGACTCCGTCTCAAAAAAAAAAAAAAAAAGCTTTAGTATATATTAATGTATTTCATTTTCATAAAAGTCATGTATTAGAGGGTTATTATGAAAATTAAATATATGTGAGCTTCAGAAAAATTCCTGGCACATTGTAAAATGGGCACTACTATTACAGTCCATTTCCATTATTCACACCTTCTGTATTTGCATATTTACCTACTCAAAATTTATGTGTATCCCCCAAATCCATGTGCGTGGTTTCTCGTAGTCATTTGAAGACATGAGCTGATATGGTTTGGCTCTGTGTCCCCACCAAAACCTCATCTTGTAGCTCCCATAATTCCCACGTGTTGAGGGAGGGACCTGGTGGGAGATGACTGATTCATGGGGCAGGTCCTTCCTGTGCTGTTCTAGTGATAGTTAATGGGTCTCATGAGATATGATGGTTTTAAAATCGGGAGTTTCCCTGCACAAACTCTCTTTGCCTGCTGCCATCCACATAAGATGTGACTTGCTCCTCCATGCCTTCCTCCATGATTGTGAGGCCTCCCCAGCCACGTGGAATTGTAAATCCAATACACCTCTTTCTTTTGTAAATTGCCCAGTCTCAGGTATGTCTTTATCAGCAGCATGAGTAAAATTGAGTTACTCATGTTCCCAGCTGAGGAAGGACAAGGTGACACTGCCTTCTTGTTTCAGCTCTCATACTGTAAACGAGTGTCCTTTTCACAGTTGATTTACTGCCATGTTTTTAACACTTTTGTGCTTTTTGTTGAAGATTTTGCCATTTAAAATGGCTCCCAAGCATAGTTCTGAAGTGCTCTTTGGTGTTCCTAAATGCAATAAGGCTGTGAAGTACCTTATGGAAAAAAATATGTGTTAGGTAAGCTTGGTTCAGGCATGGGTTATAATGCTGTTGGCCATGAGTTCAATTTTAATGAATCAACAATATATATTAAATAAAGAATTCTTAACCAGAAGCACACAATAACCAAGTAGACTGGTGGACCGTCTGAAAGTTGATGAAAATGTGACCAGAGGCTTGCACAACCCTAAGCCAGGATTTCTCTGAGCAGCAGTGAAAACAGTATTTGCTAATTCAGTGAATCTGGCAACTTCATAGAACACAAGTGCCACAGACAACAATAATTTAATGTACAGTTGTCCCTTGATATCCACAGGGGATTCGTTTCAGGACCCCTGAGGATACCAAAATCTGGGGATGCTCAAGTCCCTTATCTAAAATGGCGCAGTGTTTACTATAACCTATGCACATCCTCCCATACGATTTAAATCATCTCTGGATTACTTATAACACCTAGCACAATATAAATACCATGTAAATAGTTGTTATACTGTGCTGTTTTAATTATTATTTAATTAAATTAATTAATTATTTTATTTATTTTTGAGATGGAGTCTTGCTCTGTCACCCAGGCTGTAGTGCAGTGGAGCAATCTTGCTCACTGCAGCCTCTGCTTCCTGGTTCAAGAGATTCTCGTGCCTCGCCCTCCTGAGTAGCAGGGGCTACAGGAGTGCACCACCATGCCTAATTTTTGTGTTTTTAGTAGAGACAGGGTTTCACCATGTTGGCCAGGCTGGTCTCAAACTTCTGACCTCAAGTGATCCGCCTGCCTTGGCCTCCCAAATTGTTGGGATTACAGGTGTGAGCCACTGAACTTGGCCAGTTTTTATTATTTTTATAGTTGTATTATATTTTTCATGTTTCCAAATATCTTTCATCTGCTGTTGGTTGAATCTATAGATGTGGAACCTGTGGATATAAAGGGCTAACTGCAGTTCTCTTTTCACTCACCTATCAACTCCTTGAGATAGTGGTTTTCACTCAGCATTTTCATGTAATCACAATTCCTCCCTCCAAATATCTTATCATCTGACTCACATTTCCACCATATGACATTCTCAGAGAACCAGAGACGGGTTTGGCCAGACATCAGAACTAATGAGAAGGAGGGACTCCCTCAGGACTTTCTGTGTGTTTGTGTCTTTCTTCCTTCTTTTCCTTTATAGTTTAACTTTCTCTAGATATTTAGTCTACATGGCAGAGAGTATGGCTGCCAATAGCCATTGATTTTCACATCCTACCATCCAAATAACCAAGGAGACTGTCTGAATCTCTCCTCAGGCCCATACATCCTGAGAAAGCTTGAGTCAGGTGCCCCTGGCTGTGACTAGAACGTGTGTGTGGTACTGTGAAGTGTGTAGTATTCTGGCTACAACTCTGGGTGATAATTAAATCTACAACTGCATAGCCTAATACAGTAGCCACTTGTCACATGTGGCAATTTATATTTAAATATTAAGTAAAATTAAATAAAATTTAAAAATCTTCAGCCACACTGGTCATGCTTCCAGTGCTCAGCAGCCAAGTGTGGCTATTAGCTGCTCTCTTAGAACAGATATAGAACATCTCCATCATCGCAAGAAGTTCTATTGGACAATACTGCTATAGATGAAGAGGAATCTCTCAGAAAAGAGATTAGGGTTAGAAAGGAGTATTTCTTACCATTTGACCCAGCCATCCCATTACTGGGTATATACCCAAAAGATTATAAATCATGCTGCTATAAAGACACATCCACATGTATGTCTATTGCGGCACTATTCACAATAGCAAAGACTTGGAACCAACCTGAATGTCCAACAATGATGGACTGGATTAAGAAAATGTGGCACATATACACCATGGAATACTATGCAGCCATAAAAAATGATGAGTTCATGTCCTTTGTAGGGACATGGATGAAGCTGGAAACCATCATTCTCAGCAAACTATCGCAAGGACAAAACATCAAACACCGCATGTTCTCACTCATAGGTGGGAATTGAACAGTGAGAACACATGGACACAGGAAGGGGAACATCACACACTGGGGCCTGTTGTGGGGTGGGGGAAGGGGGGAGGGATAGCATTAGGAGATATACCTAATGTTAATGATGAGTTAATGGGTGCAGCACACCAACATGGCACATGTATACGTATGTAACAAACCTGCACGTTGTGCACATGTACCCTAAAACTTAAAGTATAATAAAAATAAAAATAAAAGAAAGGAGTATTTCTGAGCAGATAAATCTGTAGGTGTTTCTCATACCTTCTCTGCCATAGTCGATAAAACTGACCCAGACTCTTTGCAACAATTTCTTCCTCTGGCACTTAGAACATTTTTATATTCTCACAATTGCCCTGTGATTCTTCCCCTTTCAGTTTTCACCCTCCCCTAAGTATCTGGACTGTTCCTGTGTTTTGTAATACCACTGTATATTGCTGACTTCTAAATTTACATCTGTCTCAGACCCTTCTTCTTAGCTCCAGACCCACAGACCTAACTGCCTACTTAATATCTCCAATTGGATATATCAAATGTCACTTGGAATTAATACCTCACACTGAATTCTTAATCTATCCTAAATCTCCTTCTCTTTGCATGTCCCCCATCTCAATAAATGGCACCTCTATCTGCACAGTTTGTTATGCCAGAAGCCTTGGAAAAATCCTTGCTATCTTCTATCTTCTTTTGCCTCAGTCTAATATATCCCCAACTCTGATAAATTAAAGATTCAAACTATTTCTTTAATATAGCTAGATTTTTTTTCATTTTTATTGCTACCATTTAATGTCACACTCTCCTTTCACTTTGCTTCTAACATTTATTCAACTTTCTGTTCCTGCTCTAATGTCATCTTCTCACAGAACCCTTCCTTGTCCTCTGATCTGGATTCCACCTTTTACTGTCATCACACATTATGCTTTTGCTTTTCACAAATGTATTGGGTTACATATGTAATTATTTGTTTAGTGTCTAGTCTTCTCTAGCCTCATGTAATGTCTTCTCTAGCTTGATAAAGGCAGGAAATACGTTTGTTTTATTTTCCTGTGAATCTGCTGTATTTAGCACAGGGCTGGACCTTTAGCCCTCAGTCAGTACTTAATACCTTTTCAGAACACATTTTTATGAGCTTTAGAAACTAGTCTTCTTCCCTCTTAATGGTTATGGAGGTCTTTCAGGTTCTGTGTATCTTCTTATGGTTTCAGCTTTGACCCTGAGAATGACTCCCTTTCAATGTTACAAGACCTGGCTCCTCTTCTTGGAGACATGCTTGCAAAATTCACCCCTCCTTCCTGCCTCCCTGGTTTTCCCACAAGAATTCTCTTGAACTCACATGACTTCTTCCTACAGGAGATCTCCAAGCCTGCACCTCCAGCCCATCCAACCACAAAGAACTTTGAAACCTCTTAACCTGTCTTGTCATCTTAGTTCATGCAAATAGCAACCCCTAGAGATTTGTAGTGCACAGCCTGAACAACCACAGGGGCAAACTTCCCTTCCTGTCTCTGAAGTCTCGCTTTATCCTTATTGTCTCACCCCTAGAACTTCAAGGAGCCTCATAACTCATAGCCCAATCCCTACTCTTTCTGTAGACCCATTTTCGAAAATGCAGAATTGCAGAATTGTTCTGCCGGAAGACACCTCCAGAACATCTTACATATCTGAGTGTGTAAATGAGGAAACATAGGTTTAGAAAGTGGCAGGCTAGTCACTACAACCAAGACCTTCTAACTTTCTGTCTGGTGCTCTATGACACATACAGCCCCCACTGTGCTCAGAGGTCCTCATGGAGCTTCCTTTACTAAATGTAAAAGACTAAATTCATTTGCCTACAGTTTCCTTTTCTTTCCTTTCGATCACTTTATATTTTCTGAACTGCCCACACTTACCTTATGCATTTTTGCTGGGAGACCTTTGTTCTTCCTGTTGATCTTACCTAGAATATCTTTCTCTAGTTTTATCCTCTGTTGTGAATCTTGTGTTTCAAGCCTCAAAGCATGTCTGATACATAGCGGGCTTTAATGTATTTGCTGTTGAATGAATGAATGAAACATGTAATTTAGTCAATTTTCCCCATATTGACTGTGGCTAAATTTCTATTGACAGAAGTCAACAAATATCTACCACCATATCCTGAAGTTTGCACCAAAGTGGACAGTACTGAAAAATATGCACCTGATGTGTTTGACTCTCAAAAAGCAGTGATTTCTTAAAGCAGTTGGGAATTTTACCCTATTAATTGCTCACTTGGGTAACCATGCAGTTGATCTCCTCGACTGATCTATCTCCTGTCTTTCCCAAAGCAGATATTGATCCTGATTTTCTCTGATTTGAAGACTGACAAGTAGAGGCAGGTGAGAAAGGAAGCCTGTGGGAGACACAGGGAGAAAGGAAAGTCTAGAAAGACACTAGAAGGCCTGAAGAGGAGAAATTTATACTATGACCTCAACCAGAAACAGGTTAGAGACCTTAGTTCTTAAAAGGGAACTTGTATTGTAGGTATTATTTAAAATGTAAATTGAATCCAAGAATGATTTTAACATTTGGTTTCTGGTCACTAAACCTGGCAATAAGTATAAACAGTTTAAAATAATCACAAAGTCAAATGATTTTGCTAGAAAATGAAGATTTCTTGGTCCACAGCTTGTTGCACTGAGTATATTAACCTATGTTAAGAAGTTAGCTCCACTCTCTTTTAATGTAGTCTGCTAAATAATTTTTAGACATCTCTATAGAAATGAAATTTATTCAAAAAAAGGACACAAATTAGTTTGCAAAATTCAGAAATATAACTGGAAAAGCAAGCATAAAGTCTTACATTAAGTGGTTAGTTGCTTATCCCTTGTTGATGCCTATTTTATTTGAGAGATATCCCAGTTGTGCTATGCTAAGTTTTGAAGGTCTGTGTAGTCTTTAACTTGATCTTTAAAAACAACAGAATTTGAGTGAATGTCAATAAAACCAGTGAATTATAAATATTCTGTCTTCTAGCATGTTTGACTAGGGCTGCCAATAAACAAAATTATATTTCCTAGGACTTCAGGCATGAATACTAATCTATTGAATTTTAATTTAATATTCTATGAGGAACCTAGGAGAGTATCAACAATTTAGACATCTGTTGAGTTATTCTCAGAATAAAACTGGACATGTGAACATTTCAGGAAATGAAATAAAATTCTTAATGTCTTTGTATTAAAATGCAACATATATACATACATATATACACATATATTCACATATATATACATATATATATTACTATTATGACTTTTTACCTAAAAACCCCAGTTACTTGAATTAGCTATTAGGCACAGAATTATTCGACCCTGTCCCCATCCCTCTCCCATGCTCACACACTAGCTAGTATTTCTGATGGTAAAATTAATTCTTGCCACAGAATACAGGTCTTTACTCCCATTCCCCAAATGACCTAAAACCACTAAAATGGCAGAGTTTCATTCAACACTGCAGCTGCTATTTTGTCTCCAGCAGGATGATATAAAGATTAGGCTATAATCAAAAGCAAAAATTCTTGCATGTGCATTGCAGCTAGAAGAGCTCTCTTTATGCTATGTGCCTCTTCACAAATTACAAAGCAAATGATATAGGAGTGTAGCTCCTAAACTGGTCTGTCTGAACTGATAACACTGAATCACTAGTTGGCTGGGGTGTCCACCCAGATGGGAAAAGGAGGTGGATAAAAGGGAAATGAGGTTGTAATGTTGTTGACTTCAGGCCTCAAGGAAGAGACAGCTGTGGATTTTCTTAGGTGAGGAACAATGTCAGAGGAGAACATAATTCATTATAAGACTCATGGGGAAACAGTCAAATGAAGAAGCAACAAAGCAGCAACAAAACCAAACCCAAGTCTTGCCCCACTGTGCAGCTGCAGGACAAAGACAGAACAGAAGCCTGTAATTGGGGAACAAAGTGTTGTTCTTTCGGGCATTATAAAATGAAGCCTTCAGAAATCACTCAATCTTGTCATTCCAAACAGTTTGATGCATTTGTGAAAAAAAGTTTTCCTTTTTTTTTTTTTTGAAAGGAGTCTTGTTCTGCAGCCCAGGCTGGAGTGCAGTGGCGTGATCTCGGCTTACTGCAACCTCTGCCTCCCGGTTCAAGTGATTCTCCTGCCTCAATCTCCTGAGTAGCTGGGACTAAAGGCGCCCACCACCACACCTGGCTCATTTTTGTATTTTTAGTAGAGACAGGGTTTCGCCATGTTGACCAGGATGGTCTCGATCTCCGTGTGATCCACCCCCTCGGCCTCCCCAAGTGCTAGGATTACAGGCTTGAGCCCCCGCGTCCAGCTGGAAGTTTTCTTTTCTTTTTTTTTTTCTTTTTTAGCAGTGTACACCTTTTAAAACTGCAATTGAGTACTAAATAATGGAGTAGTTTTGTTCAAAAGCAATATTTATTTTTCATGAAGATAAGAGGCATATTACATTCGCTATAGAAAATGCTATGAGAGGAAAAAGCTGCATGTTACCGATATGACAAAAAACATAAAAAACTCTACTTATGAAAGTGTTTTGCCCTATAAGAACATATTCAATAAAAGGCATTATTCCAGGTGAATGAGCCATGCGGAAATGTGGATTTATTAGGGTTTGTTTTGAAATGTAATTTGTACGGCCAGCTTTTTATTCCTTTGATGGCTATCAAATAGATTTATTGGCTACATGTTAGAAGTGCAAAAGATAACAGGTAACCAAGGGAGAAGTTTTAATAAAACTCTCAGGAAAGGCAAAGAAAAGTGAGTGAATATGCCTGCTTACATTTCAGCTAATAAATAAAAAGTGCAGATAGGGCTTTAACTGAAAACCTTGCTGGTTATTGCAGCCTGGAAGGTTTATTGAAAACTGGGTAGAACACTCTCATTTTTTATATTTACAGCTACATTGTGAGCTGTTCAGGTTAGAGTGATGTAACGTTCATTTTGACTTTGGTACAGGAAACTGATGTTTTCACAGGAAACTTGCAAAGCAGTTATGAAGAGGAAGAGCGTTCTTAATTATTAGTGTCTGCCTGAGCTATTTCTGATTGTGTTCTGGGATTTTAGAGAATTGAACAATAGAGTATTTAATTTTACCACTCCCCTCTTGAGTAAAAACATCAGACACTTTTAGGAAAGTTTTAGAAGGTACATCTTCAATAAGCAGAGATCTTTCATCTCAAATAACTGGGAAGAATTGCACTGCTTAAGAATAGTTGAACTTGGACCTGAGAGCACCATACTTAGAAATCTAAGTATATTTAGGTCACTCATCTAACACTGGGACTTTACCAGCCCTGTCACCCAAACTGGTTGTAGTTAGTAGGACCACAAAGTCACTGAAGAAATCTGCTTTCCTTTTAACTTTCAAGGCAATAAGAAAAATGTAGTTCTCTGTTAGCAGTCCCTGAGCTATCTGAATTTCGGTGTTTCTCTCTTAAGCCTCTTGCTTTGGAGGATGATGAATCATTTCCTACTCCTGGAGTTAGTCTCCTTTAAAACAGACACAAAGGAGGCAGAGAGAAAAAATTACTCTAAATACCATTAACCAATGTAAAACAGTTTTCTATTAAACAGTAGGACAGCAGGGCCAAACTTGTGTTACCACAATTGACAACTGGCTTCTTAAAGCAAGCTCCATAGATTAAGAACCATAGCCTCTAGGACTGATTTTACTTGGTTCAGAAACAGGAAATCAGAACAGTGAGCAAGTATACGATTAGAAATTTACATTAATAAAATGTGATTTTTTTGATACACAAAAGCTTTTAGGTTGTAAATAATCTATGATGGCCTGCCAAATATAAAATGCCATTATAAATCCATGTCTATATTTCAAAAAGACGGGAACACAAAAGCAAGATACATTAAATTAATTGGTGTAGTTTGGAGAGTTCGAATCCATTATTAGATATGGATCCTATCAAATATCCCACCTAATTTCCAGTTACGTCGATGTTTCAATGTTCACTTTTTAAGTTCTCAACTACCCACATCTTTCACTGAACACCATCTGGAAAGGTTCATACAGAATGCCCATGCCATTCTTGAAAGGATTTGCTTTTGTGGAGGGGTTTTGCAAAGAAAAACAATTCAAAATTCTGTTACAGCTTATACATTGTCTTTTGTAGGACTATAATAAAAAACCTTCTAAGTAAGTTTTTGAGATAGGTGTTAAATGAATAAGCATGCCTCAGCAAAATGCATAAAAAACACAATGATTTAATTTCTAAAGCACTTATATTATTATGGCATGGTTTTGGAGACAGGTTATTATAGTCCACATAGGTAAGTATGCAGTGCTTCTCATGGAAAAAATGCTTAGGTATTGGCCTTTTCTCTGGAAACCATATTTTTCCTTTTTTAATAATCAACTAAGATGTATATGTAAGAAAGCCTCATCTTTTGATTTTTAATATACAAGATGCTTTCTTTAAGAGAGCAAGATTCAAAATTGTTTTGTGTTTCAAAATTTAAAAATAAATTTATCTCCTAAATTTTCTAAAGACATGTTTCATATATTTGACCATCCCTTATTTTGGCAAAGGATTTTAAGAGTCTAACTCAAACATATGTAAGCTCTGGTGTACCTGGTTATATATACCAAAAAAAACATTTGATCTATATACACATAGACATGAATATATTTCTGTGTGTGTTTGTGCATATATAACCTCAAACACTATTATTAAATGCAATCCTATATTCTTAGGTATAGAAGTTGATGATATACCTTTCTACTTGCCATGGCATTAACAAAGCAAGGCTGAGACTCAGCAACCACTTGTGTTCATTGCATTGCAGGCTAGTAGTAAGTTTGGTTGCTGGTAGGAAAAGGGTCTCTTATCTCACCCTCCTTAAACTAAAGGTTCTTTCAGGCTTAATGTAAGGATGTGCACATTCTCTTATCGAGGTGGTCTTGAGCTGCAGATACAATCACATCGTTCATGGTGATCCAACTGGATGTCAACTAGAGCCATGGTCTTAGCTCTACCCCTCCTCTTGATGTGGCCAGGCTCAAACTGTAATACCTAGGACAAGAAGCACATCTCCTGTTAGAAAGCCTTTGGAGTTCAACTCAGTCAGATGCCACCTACTTATTACCTTTTTGACAACTAGTTCTTAGCCCTTTGAGAACCCAACAGAAGCTATGGGCTTGCTATTAGAATGCACACGTTGCTATTAGAATGTACACATTTTTCAAATAATTGACTCCCTGAAGTGGAGGAATCAATTGATCCCAGAGTAATGCCCAGCATAACTTACCTGAAGTACCCAGATGATTTCATGTGTCTTAGCAGGTATTTATTAATAGCTTTCTAAGGGCCTGCTTTGGGCCAAGTACTGTTCCAAATATTATCGTAAAGATCCTTCTGACCAAGGCATGTGTTATAGATGAATACAATACTTGAGCATATTATTAGCATGGAGAGGAAAATGAATACAACCATGAATAAAATATGCTGGTATATCTAAATCTTTGGTTGAAGTAAAACATGTTGCCCTGGAGTTGCTGGCAAGATGGCCGAACAGGAACAGCTCTGGTCTGCAGTTCCCAGCGAGATCAATGCAGAAGGCGGGTGATTTCTCCATTCCCAACTGAGGTACCCAGTTCATCTCACTGGGACTGGTTAGACATTGGGTGCAGCCCACGGAAGGTGAGCTGAAGCAGGGTGGGGTGTCCCCTCAGCCGCGAAGTGCAAGGGGGTGGGGGATCTCCTTCCCCCAGCCAAGGGAAGCCATGAGAGACTGTACCAGGAGGAATGGTGCACTCTAGTCCAGATACTGCACTTTTCCCATAGTCTTTGCAACTGGCAGACCAGGAGATTTCCCCCAGTGCCTATGCCACCAGGGCCCTGGGTTTCAAGCACAAAACTGGGCGGCCATTTGGACAGACACCGAGCTAGCCGCAGCAGTTTATTTTTCATACCCCAGTGGCGCCTGGAATGCCAGCAAGACAGAACCATTCACTCCAGGGATCCAAGTGGTCTGGCTCAGTGGGTCCCACCCCCATGGAGCCCAGCTAGCTAAGATCCACTGGCTTGAAATTCTCCTGCCAGCACAGCAGTCTGAGATTGACCTGGGATGCTTGAGCTTGGTGAGGGGAGGGGCGTCTGCCATTGCTGAGGCTTGAGTAGGCGAGGCGGTTTTACCCTCAAAGTGTAAACAAAGCTACTGGGAAGTTTGAATGGGGCGGAGCCCACCGCAGCTCAGCAAGGCCGCTGTGGCCAAACTGCCTCTCTAGATTCCTCCTTTTTGGGCAGGTCATCTCTGAAAGAAAGGCAGCAGCCCCAGTCAGGGACTTATAGATAAAACCCCCATCTCCCTGGGACAGAGAACCTGGGGGAAGGGGTGGCTGTGGGTGCAGCTTCTCAGACTTAAACATTCCTGCCTGGAGGCTCTGAAGAGAGCAGCGGATCTCCCAGCACAGCATTTGAGCTCTGATAAGGGACAGGCTGCCTCCTCAAGTGGGTCCCTGACCCCCATGTATCCTGACTGGGAGACATCTCCCATTAGGGGCCAATAGACATTTCATACAGGAGACAGGGTCTGGAGTGGACCTCCAGCAAACTCCAGCAGACCTGCAGCAGAGCGGCCTGACTGTTAGAAGGAAAAGTAACAAACAGAAAGGAATAGTATCAACATTAACAAAAAGGACATCCACTCAGAGACCCCATCTGAAGGTCAACAACATCAAAGACCAAAGGTAAATAAAACCAAAAAGATGGGGAAAAACCAGTGCAGAAACACTGAAAATTCCAAAAACCAGAACTCCTCTTCTCAACCAAAGGATCACAACTCCTCGCCAGCAAGGGAACAAAACCAGATGGAGAATGAGTTTGAGGAATTGACAGAAGTAGGCTTCAGAAGGTGGGTAATAACAAACTCCTCCGAGCTAAAGGAGCATGTTCTAACCCAATGCAAGGAAGCTAAGAACCTTGAAAAAAGGTTAGATGAATTGCTAACTAGAATAATCAGTGTAGAGAAGAACATAAATGACCTGATGGAGCTGAAAAACGCAAGACAAGAACTTCATGAAGCATACACAAGCTTCAATAGCCAAATCGATCAAGCAGAAGAAAGGATATCAGTGATTGAAGATCAAATTAATAAAAGAAAGTGAGAAGACAAGATTACAGAAAAAAGAGTGAAAAGAAACAAACAAAGCCTCCAAGAATTATGGGACTATGTGAAAAGACCAAATCTACATTTGATTGGTGTCCCCCAAAGTGATGGGGAGAATGGAATCAAGTTGGAAAACACTCTTCAGGGTATTATCCAGGAGAATTTCCCCATCTATCAGGGCAGGCCAACATTCAAATTCAGGAAATATGGAGAACACCATAAAGATACTCCTCGAGAAGAACAATCCCAAGACACATAATCTTCAGATTCACCAAGGTTGAAATGAAGGAAAAAATGTTAAGGGCAGCCAGAGAGAAAGGTTGGGTTACCCACAAAGGGAAGCCAATCAGACTAACAGCGGATCTCCCGGCAGAAACCCTACAAGCCAGAAGAGAGTGAGGGCCAATATTCCACATTCTTAAAGAAAATAATTTTCAACCCAGAATTTCATATCCAGCCAAACCAAGCTTCCTAAGTGAAGGAGAAATAAAATCCTCTACAGAGAAGCAAATGCTGACAGATTTTTGTCACCACCAGGCCTGCCTTACAAGAGCTCCTGAAGGAAGCACCAACATGGAAAGGAACAACTGGTACCAGCCACTGCAAAAACATCCCAAATTGTAAAGACCATTGATGCTATGAAGAAAGTGCATCAACTAACGGGCAAAATAACCAGCTAGTGTCATAATGGCAGGATCAAATTCACACATAATAATATTAACCTTAAATGTAAATGGGCTAAATTCCCCAATTAAAAGACACAGACTGGCAAATTGGATAAAGAGTCAAGACCCATCAGTGTGCTGTATTCAGGAGGCCCATCTCACATGAAAAGACACACATAGGCTCAAAATAAAGGGATGGAGGAAGATTTACCAAGTAAATGGAAAACAAAAAAAAAAAGCAGGGGTTGCAATCCTAGTCTCTGATAAAACAGACTTTAAACCAACAAAGATCAAAAGAGACAAAGAAGGCCATTACATAATGGTAAAGGCATCAATGGAACAAGAAGAGCTAACTATCCTAAATATACATGCACCCAATACAGGAGCACCCAGATTCATAAAGCAAGTTCTTAGAGACCTACAAAGAGACTTTGACTCCCACACAATAATAGTGGGAGTCTAAATAATAAATAGACACTTTAACACCCCACTGCCAATATTAGGCAGATCAATGAGACAGAAAATTAACAAGGATATCCAGGAGTTGAACTGAGCTCTGGACCAAGCGGACCTAATAGATATCTACAGAACTCCCCACCCCAAATCAACAGAATATACACTCTTCTCAGCATCACATTACACCTATTTTAAAATTGACCATGTAATTTTAAGTAAAACACTCCTCAGCAAATGCAAAAGAACAGAAATCCTAACAAACAGTCTCTCAGACTACAGTGCAATCTATTTAGAACTCAGAATTAAGAAACTCACTCAAAATCACACAACTACATGGAAACTGAACAACCTGCTCCTGAATGACTACTGGGTAAATAACAAAATGAAGGCAAAAATAAAGATGTTCTTTGAAACCAATGAGAACAAAGACACAATGTACCAGAATCTCTGGGGCATATTTAAAGCAGTGTGTAGAGGGAAATTTATAGCACTAGATGCCTACAAGAGAAAGCAGGAAATATCTAAAATAGACACCTTAACATCACAATTAAAAGAACTAGAGAAGAAAGAGCAAACAAATTCAAAAGCTAGCAGAAGACAAGAAATAACTAAGATCAGAGCAGAACTGAAGGAGATAGAGACACAAAAAGCCCTTCAAATAAATCAATGAATCCAGGAGCTGGTTTTTTGAAAAGATCAGCAAAATAGACCACTAGACAGACTAATAAAGAAGAAAAGAGAGAAGAATCAAAGAGATGCAATAAAAAATGATAAAGGGGATATCACCACCGATCCCACAGAAATACAAACTATTATCAGAGAATATTATAAACACCTCTATGCAAATAAACTAGAAAATCTAGAAGAAATGGATAAATTCCTGGACACATATGTAGCCTGTATGGACCTTGGGGGACAGAACAAAAGGGGGTGAATGCAGAAATAAAAGACAAAGACAAAAGAGTATGTTTGGAAGTAGGGGTCAGGGGGCAACTTGCCTCTAATGGACAAGGGCCCTGAGCTTTACACCACCCTCTGTATTTATTAGGCAAAAGAGATAGCGAGAGGGTGAGTTGGAAGAAGAGGTCAGCTGTTAGGTCCAGAGTAGGCCTGCAAGACTGCATTCCTCAAACAATAGGCTCTAGATGTCCCAGTAGATAACCTCAAGGAGCCAGTGCCAGGGAGTGATGGCCCTCAGCAAACCTTCTAGGGCAGGCACAGAAGTAAGTTTGCCCACATTCTGTATTCACGATAAACAGTTTGCTGTTTGATCAAGTAGCCTCCAGTGGAATGCTGAGTTGGTCATGATCCCTTTGGCCTTTTTGGCTCCCAAAACACATACACCCTCTCAAGACTAAACCAGGAAGAAGTCAAATCCCTGAATATACCAGTAACAAGTTCTAAAATTGAAGCAGTAATTGATAGCCTACCAACCAAAAAAAGTCCAGGACCAGACGGATTCACAGCCAAATTCTACCAGAGGTACAAAGAGAAGCTGGTACTATTCCTTCTGAAACTATTCCAAAAAATAGAAAATGGGAATCCTCCCTAACTCATTTTACGAGGCCAGCATCATCCTGATACCAAAACCTAGCAGTGACACAACAAAAAGAGGAAATTTCAGGCCCATATCCCTGATGAACATTGATGTGAAAATCCTCAATAAAATACTGGCAAACCAAATCCAGCAGCACATCAAAAAGCTTATCTACCATGATCAAGTTGGCGTCATCCCTGGGATGCAAGGCTGGTTCAAAATATGCAAATCAATAAATGTAGGCCATCACATAAACAGAACCAATGACAAAAACCACATGATTATCTCAATAGATGCAGAAAAGGCCTTTGTCAAAATTCAACAGCCCTTCATGCTAAAAATTCTCAGTAAACTAGGTATCGATGGAATGTATCTCAAAATAATAAGAGCTATTTATACAAACCCACAGCCAATATCATACTGAATGGGCAAAAACTGGAAGCATTCCCTTTGAGAACTGGCACAAGACAAGGATGCCCTCTCTCACCACTCCTATTCAAGATACTATTGGAAGTTCTGGCCAGGGCAATCAGGCAATAGAAAGAAATAAAGGGTATTCAAATAGAAAGAGAGGAAGTCATATTGTCTCTGTTTGCAGATGACATGTTTGTATATTTAGAAAACCCCATCGTCTCAGGCCAAAAACTCCTTAAGCTGATAAGCAACTTCAGCAAAGTCTCAGGACACAAAATCAATGTGCAAAAATCACAAGCATTCTTATACGCCAATAATAGACAAACAGAGAGCCAAATCATGAGTGAACTCTCATTCACAATTGCTACAAAGAGAATAAAATACCTAGGAATACAACTTACAAGGGACACGTAGGAACTCTTCAAGGAGAACTACAAACCACTGATCAAGGAAATAAGAGAGGACACAAACAAATGGAAAAACATTCCATGCTCACAGATAGTAAGAATCATGAAAATGGCCATACTGCCCAAAGTAAATTATAGATTCAGTGCTACCCCCATCAAGCTACCATTGACTTTCTTCACAGAATTGGAAAAAACAACTTTAAATTTCATATGGAACCAAAAAAAGAGCCCACAGAGCCAAGACAATCTTAAGCAAAAAGAACAAAGCTGGAGGTATCATGCTACCTGACTTAAAACTATACTATAAGGCTACAGTAACCAAAACTGCATGGTACTGGTACCAAAACAGATATATAGACCAATGGAACAGAACAGAGACCTCAGAAATTACACTGCAATCTACATCCATCTGATCTTTGACAAACCTGACAAAAACAAGCAATGGAAAAAGGATTCCCTATTTAATAAATGGTGTTGGAAAAACTGGCTAGCCATATGCAGAAAGCTGAAACTGGATCCCTTCCTTACACCTTATACAAAAGTTAACTCAAGATGAATTAAAGACTTAAATATAAGACATAAAACCATAAAAACCCAGAAGAAAACCTAGGCAATACCATTCAGGATATGGACATGGGCAAAGACTTCATGACTAAAACACCAAAAGCAATGGCAACAAAAGCCAAAATAGACAAGTGGGATCTGATTAAACTATAGAGCTTCTGCACAGCAAAAAAAAACTGTCATCAGAGTGAACAAGCAACCTACAGAATGGGAGAAAATTTTTGCAATCTATCGATCTGACAAAGGCTAATATCCAGAATCTACGAAGAACTTAAACAAATTTACAAGAAAAAAACAACCCCGTCAAAATATGGGCAAAGGATATGAGCAGACACTTCTCAAAAGAAGACATTTATGCAGCCAACAAACATATGAAAAAAACCTCATCATCATTGGTCGTTAGAGAAATGCAAAACAAAACCACAGTGACATACCATCTCATGCTAGTTAGAATGGTGATCACTAAAAAGTCAGGAAACAACAAATGCTGGAGAGGATGTGGAGAAATAGGAACACTTTTCCACTGTTGGTGGGAATGTAAATTAGTTCAACCATTGTGGAAGACAGTGTGGAGATTCCTTAAGGATCTAGAACCAGAAATATCATTTGACCCAGCAATCCCATTACTGAGTATATACCCAAAGGAATATAAATCATTCTATTATAAAGACACATGCACACATATGTTTATTGCAGCACTGATCACAATAGCAAAGACTTGGAACCAACCCAAATGTCCATCAGTGATAGACTGGATAAAGAAAACATGGCACATATACACCATGAAATACTATGCAGCCATAAAAAGGATGAGTTCATGTCCTTTGCAGAGATATGGATGAAGCTGGAAACCATCATTCTCAGCAAACTAACACAAGAACAGAAAACCCAACACCACATGTTCTCACTTGTAAGTGGGAGTTGAACAATGAGAAGACATGGACACAGGGAGGGGAACATCACACACCAGGTCCTGTTTGTGGGTGCGGGACTAGGGAAGGGATAGCATTAGGAGAAATACCTAATGTAGATGACGGGTTGATGGGTGCAGCAAGCCACCATGGCACATGTATACCTATGTAACAAACCTGCACATTCTGCACATGTACCCCACAACTTAAAGTATTAAAAAAAAAACACACAACATGTTGCCCTGATGAAGGTCATTAGTGGCCATAAATAAGTAAAATGTGTTTTATGTTTTTATATATTTGTTAACATATAATATCCTTTACCATTTAAAACAAATCAGGTTCCACTAAAATCTTTGTATATTAATACCTGTGTATCAATACAGCATTTCTTAAATCAATAAGTATATCATTAATTTTTAAATTCATAAGTTTAAACATAATTTCTTAAATTAGTAGTTAAATAGAAGCCAACCCTTCTTCCCTGCAGTGGCCTTCATTTAGTGAAATATTAGCTATTACATAGACATATACTTGGTAAAATTCCATTCTTGTTTTCTAATATACATAGTCAGATTAATATATTATTTACTTTATGTTCTTAGATCCCGGTTAGCCTTTATTTTTGATTTTGTCCCATTTTCCTTTTAGATTCTAAACTTGGTCATGGCACCATTAAACAATTCTATAGCATTTTACAGTTTTTGAATAATTTGCACAGGCACTATTTTTTTTTTTCTTTTTACCCTCAGACAAATCTTTCACATGGTGGAAAAGGTATCATTATGCCCACTTTATACTGAGATTCTAAAGGAGGATAAGTACCTTGTCCAGGGTCTTCCCCTGACTTGGACCTGGGACCAGGACCTGGGATCAGGACATTTAAGCTCCTAGCATATTCTGACTTGAGGCCTCTCTAACATGCCTTCAATTTCCTTTTATGTCTCAAGGGTGTGTCTGGCTCCCCATGTGAACCGGCAGGGAGACCTGTGATGCTTTGCTTGAACTTTTGTCCTAGGTGAAAGTTAGATGCCTGGAGTCCCCTGCACTCATGCATCACGGTCTGCACATTCCTTTCATTTAGAATTTTGCCATGCTGTTCCATAGACGGTCCAGTGAGGCAGGGAATAAATCACTGCATTTGTTTAATGTTCAATCAAGTTAGGGCACTCTGCTGATGCAGAATGGAAGATGGAGATCTGTTTGTAGAAAAACTTCAAAAGACTTGTCAGTACAAAGTTGGCAGGGGGTGGAGGAAGGAATACCCTAAGAAAGTTCTTTAGGGAGACAAAGTGTCAGAAATTTTGATATTGGTAAAGCTAGTCCAAAGGCCAGTTTTGATAGTTGATTCTATTATCATCTCCTGCAATTCTATTGCACTTACAATAGGTACCTTGGAAGGGGTTGGGGTTTGGACTCCCATAGCTTTGCCAAGAATTTCTCCAAGATGAATTAATTGCTATTTTCCAAGACTATCTGGCCTGTAAAAGAGATTTGAGAACTAGGGGATGCAGGAGAGGGAAATTATTTCTAAGAAGCTGAGCATATGATAAATATTCCTTGTTTAAAGAAGACTGTTATCAAGGCCTAATAATTTGTGATGACTGGCACCTGTAAAATCAGAGCTTTGTCGATTTGCTTTCTCATTTGACGGCAAACAAAAGTGTGTGCTTTGGGATAAGAGCAAGAGCCTGGGCAGTTTTTCTAACTGGTCTTCTGATTGTTCAGGGATTTTCTCTGTGTTTTATATTAAGCAACGTGAGCACGGTATATATGTGTTTTGCTGATAAGAAGAGAAAAATGAATTGGCAGACACCTTTTCCCAGACAAGACAGGAGAGCACTATTTGAACAAAGTGGAAATTGGACTGCCTTACTGGATGATCACAGCACTGATGTTCAAAGCTTTCAGATCATGTAATAGTCTTAGGTTCAGGTACACAGCATTGAAAGAAGGAAGAAAGCAAGGCTGATTTGAGGGCATGTAGAAAAATGAAAAGCCTTTATCTGAGAAAGCAAACTGGCGGTTATAGGTTATCTGGTCACCTTTAAAGGGAAGGAACACTGAATTAATTATAGGAGCTGAAGGGCACTTGTTAATAGGTACCCTCACACAACACTTTCTTATTTTCTGAGCTATGATTCACAGCTGGAAGCACACAACCAGAAATAACAAATCCACTGGCGGGCAACCAGCATTTCTTAACACCTATGGGTGCAAATGGGGATCTTGACTCCTCTCCACTCTGGAAAACCACACAAAGCCAGGGAAACTTGACGTCTACTAAATGGAGTGTGACTGAGCCAATTGGTGGGTTTCATACCACCATACAAAATCAAAGATGCTCAGTTTTGCAAATTACCTCATCACAAAAGATATTTAACTACAGTTACTCACCTTGTTGCCAATAAACGTCTGAATAAATCTTCACCATAAAGCTATTTACACTAATAAAACAATACCAGGCAGAAAAGCTATCTGCTGAGTCTGGTTCTTGTTTATTGAGAATATAAAAAAAGGCTGTTAAGGCCTTGTAACAGTTCTCAAATTAATGGCTGACTTAGGAACACAAGTACGTATTTCAGGACAAATGCATTATATAAACCCAAATCATTAAGAGTTTAAGATTCTTCCTTTTTTTTTTTTTTTTTTTTTTTGAGATGGAGTTTCAGTCTTCTTGCCCAGGCTAGAGTGCAATGGTGTGATCCCGGGTCACTGCAACCTCCACCTCCCGGGTTCAAGTGATTCTCCTGCCTCAGCCTCCCAAGTAGCTGGGACTACAGGCACGTGCCACCACGCCTGGCTAATTTTTGTATTTTTAGTAGAGATGGGGTTTCCCCACGTTGGCCAGGCTGGTCTTGAACTCCTGACCTCAGGTGATCTGCCTGCCTCAGCCTCCCAAAATGCTGGGATTACAGGCATGAGCCACTGCGCCCGGTCTCTTCCTAACTTCTAAACCAGGCTGTTTTCAGCACACACAGTTTCTCAAGGAAAAAAAAAAGCTTCTCTTTTGATCTCTTTCATGCTTATAGCCTTTATAAAAAATGTACACAGAGTCAATATTTTTAAGGGATGCTAGTGAATTATTCTGAAACCTAAGTGACTACAAGCAAAAATATCTTGAGAAGGGATAACATATTATTTCCTCCCTGAGTAATTACTCAACCTGCAGGCAATAATCACAGCAGTGGCTGGCATTGTAACAGAAGGACTGATATCAAGTCCCAAGACACAGTACTCAGTTAAAAAGACATAAATGACAAACAGCTCAACAGTGTTATATTAAGAAGTTAAGCTTGAAGGTGACAAAAAGCTGGGTTATAGTGGGAGTTTATAACATGCTCATGAATTTTGAAAATGCAATCATGATATCTGTGCATATTTACTTCAAATAGATGCGTTCTGTGAGACTCTAGGGTTACTATGAGGTGTACTCAGTTGCAGTTTTAACTTTACAGAACTAAATAGTTAAATGATTTTGACAGCACCTTAGAGGATTATTGACTACATGTTCAGCCTACCAATTGCAGAAAACATAATGGAAAGCCTGGGTGGGCACTACATTTCAGAGCATGGCATTAGCATTGGGTATCACTCATGACACAGATGGGCCTTGTCTGCTTGGGGAGTACCTTGCCCCATGTGGCAAGTTTGCCGCTTTGGCAGGAAGGCCTGATGTGAAGCTAGATTGAGAAGGGAGAAGGTGTGCAGTTTGTAATACTTAAACAAGGAGTTCACTAACTTGTAAGTGAGTCATCAGGGAAGAAATGTAATCAGAACTGAGAAAGCCAGACCAGGCTCTCATCTAATTCCACCCACATCTGTCTTGTACTTTATAGTCTTCAGATGCCTTCATTCACCCAGTATCCCCAGGTGGTAAGAAGCACATGTGTTATCATTGCCATTGTCAAGATGAGTGAATTAACTTTTTTATAAGCAGTCTATAAACATTTACTGTTCTGGATCATATCTTTATTCTTTTTGCATTTACCTAGCATTTCAACCACCAATTTGTTTTTATTCCTTACACAATTTCATTAAGATTTTGGGGGCAGGATAAAGTGTAACAACAGATAATGAATATGATGTAATTTCAGGTTTGCCTGGGAACTCAAAATTGTAGGTTATTATGGGGATTAAGTGAGGAAACCTGAGGCCCTGGGAAGTTTTAAGTGGCTGGTCCTCAGTTGCCCCTCCATGTGGCAAAGCTGGAACCAGAACCCACATCTTTTCTAGTCCTGCAAGTTTTCTGCTCTATTGCCCTCTCTTGGTAGGAAAACATCACAGACCATGAGGCTTCACTTAAAGGTGGAGAAAGGACAAGAGGCAGAGAGACTCCACAAGTTCTAGCTATGAGGTTTCCAAAAAAATAACAGAAAAGAGATTTTCTTGACTTTTATTATGGTTAGGTATAATCATGACCCAAAAACTCCCTCCCTATTGCTAGAGAAGGAAAACTCCTTGCGCGAAATTTATTTTCTGTTTCTTTGGTCTCAATTTGAAAATTTAGGTACTTTTTTTTCAATAACAGACGTTTCAAACATGTAAAAACAAAGTACTATTCTTTTACCTCAAATCTGAAGGTCAACAGTGTATTACTCTAACCTCATATTTCATGTATAAATACAGATGCTCGTTGACTTATGATGGGGCTATATCCTGATAAACCCATTGGAGGTTAAAAATATTTTAAGTTGAAAATGCATTAATACCCCCCCATAAACCCACTGAAAAGTAAAAAAAAAAAAAATCTAAATCTAACCATCATTGAGGATAATCTGTACCAATTTATTAATACATCTCCTAACTCTTAAACTGTGATAAAATGCAAATGTTTAATACAAAATTCTACCTTAGAACAAGAAGAAGTCATTTTTTTTTCATTTTGTCTAGATGTCTAAGTGATTCTAGATGCTATAAATGTGCCAGAATCAGAGATAGGTATAGGCTTGTGCCATTCAACAAGGTAGTCACGGCCTTGTGTGGTAATTTAAATTTCAATTAGTTAAAACTAAATAAAATTAAAAATTTAGTTTCTATTTGTGCTACACACATTTCAAGTGCCCAACAGCCACATGTTGCTAGTGACTACCATATGGAACATTGCAAATATAGGTTATTCCTATCACTACAGGAAGATCTATTAGACAGTGCAGGTGGTTAGGTCAAGCATCCTGAGAAAATTATGAGAGGAAGAACAGAGGAAATTAACATCTATCTTTATCTCTTTGATGCTTCCTATGTTTTTGGCTGTTGACTAAATGGATACAGCCAGGGCACCAAATCATGAAAAACAGTTGAGTAATAATTTAATAGGTCACTATACTTTTAGGAAATATCCTCTTCCTTCATTATACACTATCAAGAGAAGAGAACTGAAATAATAGTTTCTTCTAATTGTCTACACAATACGTTTTTCTGGAATCCTCCCTTTAACAAAAATCACTACCCAAATTATCTTTTATATTCTATGATGGGGTTCAGGACACTGTACTCCCAAATGTTTTAAGCTGAAGGAATTTGAGAAAACAAGAAAAGCAGAAAGATCACTCTGACCTTCCCCTCACCCTCCATCCTGAAGGAAGTCATAAAACCTAGGATTTTCTGACCTTCCCATGTAGCAAGTCATAAGACCCTCATGCGAGAGGTGCCCCTGTTATACCCAGAAGAAAGAAGAATTCCCCCCCGCCTTTTTGTTTGAGATGTGGTCTTACTCTGTCACCCAGGCTAGAGTGCAGTTGCATGATCATGTTCTGCTGCAACCTTGAACTCCTGGGCTCAAGCAATTCTCCTGCCTCAGCCTCCCAAGTAGCTCAGACCACAGACACATCCTCCACACTTGGCTACTTAAAAATAATTCCTTTTTTTTATTATTTATTTATTTTTTTTTTAGAGATGGGGGGGTCTCGCTATGTTGACCCGGTTGATCTTGAACTCATAGCCTCAAGGGATCATCCCACCTTGGCCTCTCAAAGTGCTGAGATTACAGGCATGAGCCACTGCTCCTGGCCTAAGAATCCTTATCTCCAAAGACAAAGGTAGAACAAATAAGAATCTGAACAAACAGGCCTTGCTAATTTTCCCCAGTTTATTACCATTAGATCATACTCTGCCCTATCATATTTCTCCACAACTATCCACACTTTATCAAACTTACTGTAAAAAATTATCAGGTTGAACCACTTTTTTGGGTCTTCCTTACCAAGGCCTCTGTGTCACGTAAAACATATTCAATAAATGAGTACACTTTTCCTTTGTTATTCTGTCTTTTGTTATAGTGGCCTCAGCCATGAACCTAGGAAGGGTGGAAGAAAAGGTATTTTTCCTACTCTATATCTAGTATATTCCAAGAAGCATAGAATGATTGTTTAGAAAGAGGAAAAATACTTCAACAGGGTACCTACAAACTTTTGAGAGCAAGAAATAATAAAGACAGTCACATTTTACTGCACAGTGAAAACCGCTCAAAACCCTACAGGACAACTAATATGACCTGTGAAAAAAGCAATATTAGCTTCGTTAGAAGCTTTCCAGTTTCCCAGATTTAAATTCCTTAAGGTTGAGCACTGAAATATTTGTGGAGAATCACACAAGCCTGTTATGTGACAAGGTCTCATTACCCCCTTAAGGGTGCTCATCTTTCACAGAAACTCATTTCACATCTCATCAGTTGCAACCATGAGCTGGGGAAACTGGTTTCTCATTTCTCAGAGGTAAGAATACAGACACAGAATTCAGAATAAAGGACTAGAATTTTTCCCTAATGAGACTAGGCTCAAGCAACCCCCACTTCTGGAAATGGAATAAGCCTTTTGCTGTTTCCCACAGGGCACTTGACAGTGATAATTGTGACACATCTCAAAGGTATTTCAGGAGTCTCAGGGGCATATGACAGGAGTGTTTGTTCCAGGTAAGCAGTTACTGGCTGGTGATGGATGTTTATTTTTCCTTTCATCCAGCACTTGACAGAGTGATTTTATAGAGCTTTGCAGAGTTCTAGAAGTAAAAATATTAGGACACATGTCTTAAAGAGATGCTTTAGATACAGTTTCAAAGGATGCCAATGTTTCAAATCCACTCATGCGACTGAACAAAGAGATCAAGAGTTTTCCCCTCTACACATTAACTGAGAACAGAAATTTGCAAGTAATGGTTATTGTGTAGAGAGATAAGAAAGGAACTAAGAGGAGGAGGGTAGCCAGGCCTTCAGTGTTCTTCAAAACTAACTGGCTGGGAGGCAAGGGTCTTTGGGGGTCTATGGTTCACTCTGCTCTTCCCACAATAAGTAATTTTTTAAATCAAGCTAAAAATTCTATCTGAGCATAGAGTCAAGATAAAAATAAAGCACTCCACAAATACATCAAAGTCCTGACCTTGAATGTTCTTCCTCACAGTTACTACTAGGTAGAGACCTTGTCACTTCCTAGATTATTTTAACTATAACCTGATTACTGCATTCTGCATTTATCCTTGGGGTATGATTAAAGGTTATAAAATTCAGGTTCTTAGAAGTGAAGGACAACATCCAATCTAGAGTTCATCAGTTCATACAAAAATAAAACACAATGAACATAGATGATAGCATTCTCTAGATATGAGAACATTTTTTTTCCTTTGAAAACAGTGGGGTGGATCAAGCAATTCTTATGACTTAAGAAAATATGTTCCATGTAGGGCTAAAATAGTGTTTCCCTGTCTGAAGTAAGTATGGTCATGGTGGAACAATTTCCTACATTTTCCAAGTTGAAAATATCAATTATTACATACTCATTTTTGCTTAATCCAGAAGTTACCTCCTAACTTACTACGATTTTTGTGTTGTTTTCAGAATAGAAATCAAAACCAAAACACCACCACCACCACAAAAGCCTCCAAAAAACAGTTTTACAAAGCTGGAGATTTTGTTTAGAGAGAACTACCTATTCCTTTGTTGTGGTGGACACTTTTTAAAAATTATTATTATACTTTAAGTTGTGGGATACTTGTGCAGAACGTGCAGGTTTGTTACGTAGGTATACACGTGCCATGGTGGTTTGCTGCACCCTTTAACCCATCACCTACATTAGGTATTTCTCCTAATGCTATCCCTCCCCCAACCCCCAACCCACCGACAGCCCCCAGTGTGTGATGTTCCCTTCCCTGTGTCCCTGTGTTCAACTCTCACTTATGAGTGAGAACATGTGGTGGTTGGTTTTCTGTTCCTGTGTTAGTTTGCTGAGAATGATGGTTTCTAGCTTCATCCGTGTCTCTGCAAAGGACGTGAACTCATCCTTTTTTAAGGCTGCAAAGTATTCCATGGTGTATATGTGCCACATTTTCTTTATCCAGTCTATCACTGATGGGCATTTGGGTTGGTTCCAAGTCTTTGCTATTGTGAATAGTGCTGCAATAAACATATGTGTGCATGTGTCTTTATAGCAGAATGATCTATAATCATTTGGGTATATACCCAGTAATGGGATTGCTGTGGACACTGATGGAGAGCAACTCAAACAGTAATTCCTAACAATGATGTTTGCTTCATATTTTAGTTTATATTTTAAAACATATTTCTGCATGATGTTTAACATCTTGCAAAATATATTTCATATGCATTATTTTATTTGACCCTCAGAGCAACTCTGGAAGGGGTTATCTGATATATTAATTTTTCAGTCCTATTTAAATATGTGAAAACTGAGTCAAAACTTTAGTGACTTGCATGTGTTTCCACAATAATAAAGTAATTAGAGCTGCTGCCTATGTCACGGAAGAGCTCTAACTCCTCTTCAGTCTACTCTCTCTCTCTCTCTCTATGTGTGTGTGTCTGTGTATATATATATATATATATACACAGACACACACACACATATATATATATATATATATGTAATTTTTTTTTTGAGATGGAGTTTCTTTTACCCAGGCTGGAGTGCAATGGCGCGATCTCAGCTCACTGCAACCTCCGCCTCCCGGGTTCAAGTGATTCTCCCGCCTCAGCCTCCTGAGTAGCTGGGATTACAGGTGCCTGCCATCACGCCTGGCTAATTTTTGTATTTTTAGTAGAGACGGGGTTTTGCCATGTTGGCCACGCTGTTCTTGAACTCCTGACCTCAGGTGATCCACCCACCTCGGCCTCCCAAAGTGCTAGGATTACAGGCGTGAGCCACTGCGCCCGGCCTATCTTTTATGCTCAATAAAGTGCTATATATTACTAGTGATAAGAAAAACCATAGACCCTGGAACCAGTGGATTGGAGTTGGAGTCCTGGCTCTGTGATTTACTGACCAGGCCATGCTGGCCAACTTACTGATCCTCTTAGGGCTCAGTTTACTCACCTATAAAAAAAGAATAAAAATAGTGACATTTTTACAATATTGTTGATGGGGTGCTAAATGAGCTAATGATTACTTACAATAGTTTTTGTCAAGCAATAAATGCCATTGTTACTATTATTAAGGTTATTGTGCTCTTTAAGTTTTTGTTCCTCCTATATTCTTTTACTTTTGTCTATTTTTGCATAATCCAAGAGCTGATTCCCTGAGTAGCACTTAATAATAGTTAAAATAAACTGAGCATTTCCGGTTGAAACATACTTCATATTTAGAAAATAAAAAGATCTTTGACAATTTATATTTTGCTATCTTTATTGTGCCAAATTTATTAAATGATATAATTGAATTAAGGTTTTGCTTATGAGATTGTGCCGTCATATCCTGTAAATGAATAACATCATATTTCTCTTTTTTTCTGTCTTTCTGCAAGTAGGTCAAGCTCTGAAATTACTGTATCACATATTTGATTATATATTCTAACAATGTTGATGTTGATCCACATGGTGTATTGTTCAAATTAGAAAAAACAGTGCCTTCGTCAGGATAGGATTAACCTGTCATCAGGACACTTGGCTTGGCAAACCTAGTGTGGGTAGAATTTCTGCTCCTAATCAAACCCTGGCTGGGTGCCCTTGTGCAGTGAACAACCTGAACAACTGTATGCAATGGCCCTGTCTTCCTGAATCCTATAGATTAAGCATTGCAACAAGAAATCTAAGAATGACATACCTCATGATACTTTTTCACGGTTTTCCCTGAATTGCATGTGCAGGACCTCCAGTTGACAGTTCCACAGCCACAATTTCCTCCACAGCGCTGCACGAGGAGGCAACGTGGAAAGAAGACCACATTGGCCAACTTCAGCTCTTCTCTTATATTGACCGAGTAATTCCTGGGAGTGCAACTGTAACGCTTGGCATCATCATTGAGCCTATCCAGGTCAACTGTAAGCAAATACATGCACTGTGTAAGCAAACACAACAGTAAGCACAATTGCTCAGCATGTGTTTTGGGGAATAGAGTGGGAAGATTCTGTGAGGACAACTTTAATCCTGGGATTAAATCCATCCTCAGGCTCTCAATTACTGGGAACCTAAAGTAAAAGACCTAATTTCTCTCTTGATCCCATCTACCCTTTGAAAATAACAACAAAAACAAAACAAAACAAAAACCTTGGCTAAAATTCATGTCTTGGTTCAAATTTCCTTGCATCTTTTTTATGCAAAAAAAGTTCAGAGGAAAGAAAATGAAACATTTGGCAAATTAAAATAATTGCCTTTATCTTCAAAAAGACAAAATAAACTGCTTCTTCATTCTAAATAAATCCTGACTCTAAGCCATCACTTAAATATAATTTAAATTATATCTAGGACACATTAGAGACAACCACTGTATTATATTTACCTGGCAGTGAAATTTCACACATAAATGTAATAAAGAAAAGGGTTTTAGTTTTATTTTTAACTTCAAAGTTAATCAACATGTTAGAGAAAATGATTTTTTTGTGTGTGAATATGGTGCATATTTGTGCACTGGGTCCTAGATGGCAGTATAGCATAGTGGTTAAGTGCTTTGGAGCCGCAGTAAAGTTACAACTGCCTTCAATCACATCATGGCTATGTTTCCTTTTAGTTGGAAAGTTATTTAATGGCTCTGAACTTCTGCTTCCTCATCTATAACATGTAATCATTTGAAGAATTGAATGTAACGTGCCTGGCACTCAATGCCAGCTATTCTTACTAATCTTGATTCATCTGAATCTCCCCCTCTCACATTCTTTTCCTTTAAAGTCAAATGGACAAAATTTAAAAATATACTACGTCTTTCTCCCTCTTTATGTTTTCTTCTTTGGACATTATATAAATGATTATCAAGGGATATGGTCAGTGGGACTTCTATGAACTAAAAGCACCACAATATTTTCAAAGCTAAGTCATAAATATTTACTTGAATTCAATTCGCATTATTGTGTTACATAAATTAGATTTGATTTCGTGTTCTCCAAGTCCATCCAATTATCCATCCATTTGGCAGCCAAATCCTCTTATTGGTGCATACATACATGAGTATCTTCTCACAAGAACACAGTTAGAAGCAAGTCCTTTTGTCTGCACAGAACCCACCACCCTTTCCCAATGCACGCCCTTGTGTGCACCAGGCCACCACAGAAGGAATCCCATGAATGTTAGGCAGTTATCACCATGTTCATTCTAAACTCTAGCCCTGGTAAATGTCTTAGGCTTAAACTGAAACTGCTTAAGGAGAAGGAAGAAAAAAAGCCTTTGGGAGCAGAGGTCAAAAGTCAAGGACAGTGTCAGTAGAATGCATCTAAGGAAAATTGCAGGAACAAGTGTGGACCATGAGTCCACTAACCGCATCCCTGTTTGTCTTTTTATATCTACAACTGTGCTTTGATTCTCAAGGGCAGGGATTTATCCCCAATTGTCATACGCTGAGCCCAGGATACTGTGGGAACTAAATAAATGCCAAATAATCACTGTGCATAATTTATTGCTGTTTTTTTCTTCCTTTGTAAAGACATGTCATAACTTTAGCTATAATCAATCCAGATTTAAATTGAATGAACTCTGTCTTGGGAAAGGAACCATTTTATTGCTGCTAAAGCCCTGAAAATAACTGCAAGCAAAGCAGAAAGGATTACATAAATGGATTAAGAAGTGCAGCAATCATCCATTACAAGTGTCACCTTGAGATAAATACTGATGCTGGCCTGTGCATTCCTGGGCTTGTGAACAGGGCTGATGCAGAGGGCCAAATCTGCTGCTTGTGATAATGGGAAGATATTTGTCTAACACGGAGGACTAAAGAGGTACAATTAGCAGGAAGGGATCGTGATGTGTGAGAAGGCAGAGAGGGACAGGACGCAAGCGGCAACACTGAGTCTCTGCTTTCGTTCAGCCCTCTGCTGAACTATGTCATAACCTTACAGATATGACTACATTTAGTTGTTCCCCACCCATTTCAAGTGAGTATTATTTGCTAAGAGTTAACAGTAAATGGTAAAACTGGAATTGAAGCCTTTCCCCCTTTTGCTCCATAGTCTCTGTCACTTTAAGCAGAATAGAGGGATGGTCAGTAAGCCATTAGTTGAAGGAAGAAGACCAGTGTTATGAGGGCTGTACTGGACTTTCCTGTCTGATGTTGAACCAGGGTTGGGTGGTGAATGGCCACATCCTTATCTTCAGAAGACACCCAAGCCAAAGTACAGCATGCCTTCCCTATAGGAATTCCAATAAACTCCAAAGTGCCCTCCACAAACCAGGAGAAGGCATGTAAGCCTCATTCTATTTGAAACCAAACTCCTCACATTGTATAACTCTTTGACTAGCATTGGTTACTTTCATTTCTTACTCACCATGAGGAGATTCACAATTCTGTCAGTTTTATGCATCAATTCACTAATGTCACTAAGAACTGTGACCCAGTGTGACTGCTGTAGAATCCACCTGCCCTACATATCAGGCGATTGAAATCACCGAGGCACTCAATTTAGAATTAGAACTGAAAGGTTGTTCTGACTGGATGCAAATAACTTCAAAGCGTGATTGCAGACTTTCTGCAGGGGATATTGAGTTTCCAGTCAAAGAAGACTGATAAGCCAGTGCAGCAGAGCAGGGAGCCAGACAGAGGCTGAGCAGCAATTAAGGTTTCTGGTGCTTGGGTTAGAAGGAGAATTCTAGAGTGAGACTTCTGGGAGGGAGACAGGCCAAGTGGTGTCAACCGAGAGAGAGGGGCTGCCCTTTCTGTTCCTGCATCAGTCTCCATAGCTGAACATTCAGAGCATCAAGGGTGTTCCAAATTTAATTCAAGGGCCCGCTAATTTCAACTAACGTCCCTTATTTCATCCCAGTCTACATCATGGAATAATCCCTCTTTTTCTGTCATTCTGAATTTTAGTTTTGCTTTATCAAAGCTCTTTGACATCAATTAAGTTTTTTGGGCCTCATACAGGCAGTTTTCTGGAAAGGCTGGGAAGGCTCCCCTGTCCTCAAAAACTTCCTTTGGACATACTGGTAAAGTGTGGGGTGCTGCACAGTGCACAGGGGCGCACTTTTCCTTCTGCAGCCCTGCCTCTAGGTGCAGCCTAATCACAGAGGTGCTTTGAGATGTAATAAGAATGCTGGGATCTGAGCTCTAGAATGGGGATGTGAATGCACACCCTTTTATAGTTTCTAATATTAGGTGTGGGAGGAAGGAGAGTCAACCTGTTCTTTTTGATCCTGGCCATCTAGACTACTAAGTGCTGTGTTCATCATGAGTGCATGAAATACTCATAAATGCTATGAATTACATACAATCATTACTCTTACTTTTGCAGTTGAGGAAACTGAGCCTTTCAAAAGTTAAGAAAAAAAAAAAAAAAACTTGTCCACAGCCATACAACCAGTCAGTGGTAGAGCCAGAGTTTGAATCCAGGCCTCTTCATGCCTTTTGTACATTATGAGCCCAGTGTAAAGATTTGAAGGAGGGTTCAGAGAGCAGCTTCCACAAGCGATGCTGAAGTCTTCCCACCAGAGGACCACTTGCTGTGCAAATGACCTGGCTTCCTAGGTGCACCCATAGGCACTAACCTGTCATTTTCACAATGTCATTAATACACATACCCAAGCACGAGCAGCTGTGTATCCTCATCCACCTATTCAGTTCTGACTAATAAACCAGGCAGCTATTCAGAGTCTACTTTTGTCTTTGGTATTGTGATAAAACATTTCGTCCTTTTATCTGAACCGAGTGGACTTTGGCCAATGCACACTCTTCCTTTTGTCCTCATTTCTCCTTGAACCCTTTCTTGCCTCATCTAGGAGCTGAATGGATTGATAGCAATGATTTGTCCTCAGTGGGAACAAATGCCAGGATCCTAAAGATTCTAGTTTCTGTAGGACAGATAAAACCAATATAATATTTCACATACTTGGCAAGCACAACATGGGTGGTGATCAGCTTAAGATAAAAATTTAAAAATCTATTCCTTATTAAAGTGAAACATATTTATTATTTTATACAAGTTACCTGTTCTGGTGGACAGAAGTCCAAAATGTGCCTTACTGGGTCAAAATCAAGGTATGTAAAGGTAAGTCTGTTTTTGTGAATACAAAAATTCATTATGAAACAAAATAATCTCCTCACTTTGAACATGGGAAAGCACCTTTGTTCTCCACATGCACAATAATTTACTGCTTGTTTTGGTCAACAAGAGGATGGTTTCCTTGAGTCAGTCTCTAAACATTAAGTTATCAGTTGGCTTTCACTGTGCTGGCCATTCATCAATCTTTATTCTGATAGTAGAATCACATGCTTTTTTCTCTTGATCATCCACAGACTGTCAGAGAATCCAATTAAACTGCTGCATGTCCTTGAAGACAGTCAGTAATCTTTTTCTTTTCTTTTCTTTTCTTTTTTTGAGACAGAGTCTTGCTCTGCTGCCCAGGCTGGAGTGCAGTGGCATGATTTCAGCTCACCATAACTTCCGCCTCCCAGGTTTAAGCAATTCTCCCGCCTCAGCCTTCTGAGTAGCTGGGACTACAGGTGTGTGCCACATGCCCAGCTAATTTTTGTATTTTCATTAGAGATAGAGTTTCACCATGTTGGCACCAGTAATCATTTTATTGTTGTTACAAGGTCTAGCCTTTATAATGCTAAAGTTCTTTATAAACTCTTAGCAGGCATGCAGCAGCAGCCTACATACTAGTGCATATTTACCACATGGTGATGGCATGTGGAGAATGAGCACTCAAAGTAGGGCCATGATGTTTTTGAAAACCATGCTCTTGTTCTTCTGTTTTGCTTTCTCTGGCATCTCAGCTTGCTATATTATTTTAATCTTCTAGAGCTCAAGTCAAAAGGCATATTCACTCTACATCTCCTATGACTCCTTCTCTATGTACTCACCACACTTTTTCTGCCCTCTATTATAGCATTTACTTCATAGACCTTGTTTTGTTTTCTTTGCAGATAGTCCAACTTACAATGGTTCAACATGAGTTTTTTTTTTTTTACTTTTTGATGGTGCTTTCAGCTGTGTATGTTAATGGTGAGCACCCATAAAACCATTCTGTTTTTCACTTTCAGTAAAGTATTCAATAAATTATATGAGCTATTAAACCTCTATTATAAAATAGGCTTTGTGGTAGATAATACTGACCAACTATAGGCTGATATATGCGTTCTGAACATGTTTAAGGTAGGCTAGGCTTAGCTACGAAGTTCAGTAGGCTATGTGTATTGAATGTGGTTTGACTTAACTATATTTTCCAATTACAATGTGTTTATTGGGATGTAAACCCATCAAAAGTTAAGAAGCATCCATATTCAGGTGCTTCTCTTCTATTGAACTAAAAAAGTTGTTGGAGGTAGAGAGCTAATCATCTTTTTATCCCTTCTCTTCTAGTACTTTGTCCCTAATGTAAGGACCAAATGCAGCTCATTCAAGCTCACTTCTAAAACCATTTGACTTCAACGATTAGGAGCAAGGTGCTGCTGAAGGAAGCACAACATCGTCTTTGTGCCAGATTCCCTTTGCAAGAAATAGACACTCAATAATTACTACCTGAATGAATCAGATAAACCATGGATTTTTTCAGTTTAATTTTTTATCACAAAGGTGAAACAATTCCAACTATCTTTCAGGAATGCATAGAGTATTATTAATACTTTATATGTTGAATGTTTGGATCTTATCTCAAGACTAGTCTAGGATGTGGTGTAGTGCGAAAGTGTTAGGTTAGAATTAAGAAACTAGGATTTAGAACCATCTCTGCCAAGGATGAACCAAGATGCATGAGATGACTGGCACCAAGATCTGTGAAATATAGGAGTGGCACACATGGTAGAGCATGGTCTTGAGAAGACTGGTTCTCAGATGCAAACATCAAGGTGCTAAGGAACATTGCCTTTGTCAAATGGGAGACAGTGCCATAATCTGTTATGAAAAGTGCTAAACATTTCCCTTTAATGTTGCAGCACCAGGTTTATGATGCTTTGGGGTGGGGTGGGAGGTGAGGGGACTATAGGAATAATTGTATTATTTTTGTTAAACAACCAGGGGCTCTCAGCCTTTCTCAAGGTTCATAAGTTCACCAGGAGTCTTCATCCTTATGAATATTACAACCTCACTGTGATTTTCAGAATCCCTCTTCTATAAATCAGCACATAATTATGAAAACTGTTTTCACATTTCAATCCCAATGCAGAAGTGCAAATAAATCTGGAAAGGACAATTATTTTATAAGTTTTAATGAGGGACTATCAGGATACTTTAACTTAAAATTATGAAAGACACTGAATTTTGTGACTCCACATGTGGGTTTAACATCTAAAGAATAAAAACATTTACCACTTGTTTTTACACAAATTAACCTAAATCACAGCAAAAGATTCTTAATCAGACAATTCCTGATTTTCAAGGTTTAGAAGCATTGTGAAGCAACGAGTGAATGCAAACTTACTGAGCAACTACTATGTATCCAGCACTTTGTGAGATGCTTTCACAAAATCAAATTTCATTTAATTCTCACAGCAAACCCTCATCTTAGATATTACAATTCCCATTGGATGGATGTAGAAACTGAGTTGCAGAGGACTTAAGTGACTTGCCTAAAGCCACTGGACGTAAGTAGATATTCAGCACATATGTACTGGAAAATCAATGGATGACTGAATGAATATCTGGAAGGCACTGAATTAGCCATGAAAGCAGTAACACCATCATAAAGCCATTCTCTGAACCCTGGGAATTCATGACCTGGGGTGATGTATAAAGCATATCTATGAAATGAAAAATTTTTTAAAAAACAAGTTAGGAGATGAAGGTCTTAAAATTTCTTGTTCTCATTTACTAGACTATGAATCCCTGAGCTTTAAACACCATTGAGTTGCTCACAGCATGAGCTTTGCAGCCAACAAGGCCAAGTTCATGTCATGATTCTCTATTTTCTAGCTCTCACAGAAACTTTCTGAATTTTTTTCTTTTACTATGCAAAATGGGAATCACAGTAGCTCCTGCCAAGGAACTTGTTAAGATTAAATGAGTTTTGAGTGTTTGAAGCACAGGTCTAAATCCTACCTCTCAGTAGGTATGCCCACATTATTACTGAAGTGAGTAACACAGATCAAAGAAGGAAGTTTAAATCAGAAGCACCTAAAACTAGAAGGAGCTGAGATTCTGTAATTGGTGATTACTAAGGAATAGAAGGCCATGCCCACCTTGAACTAAATACAAAAAGCCAATGATCAGGTGTCTTCAGTTTGATTACATCAGACGTAACACTATCCTTTGCAAGTGTATTAGTCCATTCTCATACTGAGATAAAGAAACACCCAAGACTGGGTAGTTTATAAAGAAAAGAGGTTTAATGGCCTCACAGTTATGCATTGCCTGGGAGGCCTAAGGAAACTTACAATCATGGCAGAAGGCGAAGGAGAAGCAAAGGCACGTCTTACATGGTGGCAGGAGGGAGAGCATGTGTGCAAGTGTAGGGGAACTGCCCTTTATAAAATCATCAGATCTTGTGCCACTCACTCACTATCACAAGAATAGCATGGGGAAAACCATCCCCATGATTCAATTATCTCCATCTTGTTTCTCCCTTGACATGTGGGGATTATGGGGATTATGGGGATTGCAATTCAAGATGAGATTTGGGTGGGGACACAATGCATAACTATATTAGCAAGTAAAGACACTCAGTGAGTTGGATCTCTCAGCACCAGCAGGGCCTACAAGCATATATGCTCTAGGAGCAGTGTAGTGTCTCCTTAAGTCTAGTGGGGCATAAAGGAAAACAATCCCATAATAATTTTCCAATGCTTCACAGAAAAAAATTAGCACAGCAAACACAAGGAACACACATTTCTCTTTAACAAGAGTAATTGCAGTGGAAAATGCACATTTGTTCATCCGACGCTAAAAGTTACCTATGGCTTTCCACTGTCAACTGGATTTTTCCTATTGATTTGCATTTGAATGACATGCCTAGATGAGGGGAATAACTTTGATAATGAGGGTGGGGTTAGGATATCCACAAAGACGGACAACTGCGTCTAGGATGAAAGCAGAGGTGGCACAGGCACCAGGAGGAAAAACAACTGAAAGTTGTCCCACTGCTGAGATTTTCTTAAAATATTTCATGTGTGTGCCCTCATAGACACACACAATATGATAAACAACAATATGGTTTTTATGAATGCTTGCTGGCAAACAGAGTAAGTGAGGCAGCTAGATACTTACAAATCATATGAGTCATAAACAGTGGCAAAAGTCTCTAAAAGAAAAGCTTAGCAGAAAAAACATCCAATAAGCAAAATAGTGTCAGAAAATTTCTGGATAAATAGTATCAGAAAAGTTTAGTACTTGGAGATAATTTTGAAAACTTTTAATGAGTACACTGATTATACAGATAATTAAATAAGACAATATTTGCCAAATACTATCTGTGAGGCTCTCCAGATTACTGATGGTTATCTTAGAGCCTTATAGGGAAGACAGCAGAGCAATTAATAGAAATATCTTGGTTCTGTGCAGAGTTTTGCAAGCAATTCAAATAATAACAGTAGCTATCATTTATTGAGGGTGTTAGATACTCTTTCATTACCTAATCCTAACACAAATTTGCAAAGTGCTTATAATTAGAGCCATTTTACAAAGAGAAGAAAATAGAGAATCAGGGGTCTGTAAGTGACTTCTCCAAGGCCACTGCTACTGATTTTAGGATTTGAGTTAGAATTTTATTACAAGTTAGTTTGACTCTCAAGTCCATGCTCTTTCCATTGCAACGTCCTTCTTTCTTTTGCTCTATTTCTATTAAATTTATGCCAAACAATTTTAATATTGATAAATAAAACTTTCACTTGGTAAAGGTACCAAATATACCACATGGTTCAGGAAACTCAATGAAGCTAACCATCTTTCAATAATAGAAACTATTATTAACAATAATGTAATATTAATAAGCAACACAAGTTATTATTAATGTCTATTATCTACTGATGTCACCAGTACCTCCTTAATTTACAGAGATGTAGTTACAGATATCTGAAGACTGACTGATCTGACTCATCACTGGTGTCGGCCAACAGCTTTTGGCAAATTCTTAACCCAAGTATCAAATAGGCAGACAGAGAAAATTGCAAGCACTCAGTTTCTAAAATATGTTCATATGTTAATGCTCTCTGAATAATTTCCTACATTTGAAATCATTTTTGAAAAATCAAAACTTGTGTCCTCCTGTTTAGCATGCAGTGGCATGACAAAGAAACAGCAATAAATGATAAAATTTTTTTAAAGAACCTATTCTGACTTAAGAGAACTCAGAACGAATGAAAACATACTGATATAAAACATTTATTTCATTTATTTCTCAGTTTCTTATGCTAGTTATTTACCTGTAAATAATTTGCAAATTAGAGTCAAATGTTTTAGATTTTAGAGGAAAATGTCATGGAGAAAATAATAGAATTGGTATTAGATCCTTGGAAATGGGTTGGTAACTGTTCCACAGTTGTAACATCTAACCATTTAGAGTCTGTAAAAATCACATATTTCAAACGTCATCATTTGGAACTAATTTAGTATCAAGATGTTTACTGCACTCAATATTAAAATACTGTTTTTTTGTTTGTTTGTTTTTTGTTTTTTTTTTTTAAAGCAGGGTCTTCACTCTGTTGACCAGGCTGGAGTGCAGTGGTGCAGTCACAGCCCATGGTAGCCTTGAACTACCCGGGCTCAAGTGATCCTCCCACCTCAGCCTCCTGAGTAGCTGGAACTACAGGTATATGCTTCACGCGTGGCTAACTTTTGTATTTTTTGTAGAGACAGGTTCTCACCATGTTGCCCAGGCTGGTCTCTCACTCCTGGGCTCAAGCGATCTGCCTACCTCGGCCTCCCAAAGTGTTGGGATCACAGCAGTGAGCCACTGTGTCGAGTCTAAAACACTTTTTAAAAGAGGAGTGGATTTGAATTTTAGCATGTGTATCTAAAAATGATTACTTTTTGGAGAACAATATATTTTAATTATTAATTTAAAACTATTAATTTGGAACACCCCAATAATTTTGTTCATATTTTAATCAAAACACAAGCTTTGAAAACAGGTTTCCCTCCTTGCCATTATGTCCTGGATTTTTCTTTGGTGAACACACTATCATTCTAGAAAGTCAAGTTCTCCTGGAATAAGAAAAAGAACAGATCTTACTTATATTGTTTATCTCCATAAATCACCTCTCCGTTAATGTCCAGTCAGGGCTGATCATTTCTTAATTTAGAAATGTTGAATTTTATGCTATGAACTTGAATAAATATACATTGTCCTTAAATTCATAGGTATATGTTTTTTCTGTTTTGTTTTGTTTTTTTAATTTTATGATTATTATACTTTAAGTTTTAGAGTACATATGCACAATGTGCAGGTTTGTTACATATGTATACATGTGCCATGTTGGTGTGCTGCACCCATTAACTCGTCATTTAACATTAGGTATATCTCCTAATGCTATCCCTCCCCCCTCCCCCCACCCCACAACAGTCCTCAGTGTGTGATGTTCCCCTTCCTGTGTCCATGTGTTCTCATTGTTCAATTCCCACCTATGAGTGAGAACATGCGGTGTTTGGTTTTTTGTCCTTGTGATAGTTTGCTGAGAATGATGGTTTCCAGCTTCATCCATGTCCCTACAAAGGACACGAACTCATCATTTTTTATGGCTGCATAGTATTCCATGGTGTATATGTGCCACATTTTCTTAATCCAGTCTATCGTTGTTGGACATTTAGGTTGGTTCCAAGTCTTTGCTATTGTGAATAGTGCTGCTATAAACATACATGTGCTTGTGTCTTTATAGCAGCATGATTTATAATCCTTTGGGTATATACCCAGTAATGGGATGGCTGGGTCAAATGGTATTTCTAGTTCTAGATCCCTGAGGAATCACCACACTGACTTCCACAATGGTTGAACTAGTTCACAGTCCCACCAACAGTGTAAAAGTGTTCCTATTTCTCCACATTCTCTCCAGCACCTGTTGTTTCCTGACTTTTTAATGATTGCCATTCTAACTGGTGTGAGATGGTATCTCATTGTGGTTTTGATTTGCATTTCTCTGATGGCCAGTGATGATGAGTATTTTTTCATGTGTTTTTTGGCTGCATAAATGCCTTCTTTTGAGAAGTGTCTGTTCATATCCTTCACCCACTTTTTGATGGGGTTCTTTGTTTTTTTCTTGTAAATTTGTTTGAGTTCATTGTAGATTCTGGATATTAGCCCTTTGTCAAATGAGTAGGTTGCAAAAATTTTCTCCCATTCTGTAAGTTGCCTGTTCACTCTGATGGTAGTTTCTTTTGCTGTGCAGAAGCTCTTTAGTTTAATTAGATCCCATTTGTCAATTTTGGCTTTTGTTGCCATTGCTTTTGGTGTTTTAGACATGAAGTCCTTGCCCATGCCTATGTCCTGAATGGTATTGCCTGGGTTTTCTTCTAGGGATTTTATGGTTTTAGGTCTAACATTTAAGTCTTTAATCCATCTTGAATTAATTTTTGTATAAGGTGTAAGGAAGGGATCCAGTTTCAGCTTTCTACATAGGGCTAGCCAGTTTTCTCAGCACCATTTATTAAATAGGGAATCCTTTCCCCATTGCTTGTTTTTCTCAGGTTTGTCAAAGATCAGATAGTTGTAGATATGCGGCATTATTTCTGAGGGCTCTGTTCTGTTCCATTGGTTGATATCTCTGTTTTGGTACCAGTACCATGTTGTTTTGGTTACTGTAGCCTTGTAGTGTAGTTTGAAGTCAGGTAGCATGATGCCTCCAGCTTTGTTCTTTTGGCTTAGGATTGACTTGGCGATGTGGGCTCTTTTTTGGTTCCACATGAACTTTAAAGTAGTTTTTTCCAATTCTGTGAAGAAAGTAATTGGTAGCTTGATGGGGATGGCATTGAATCTATAAATTACCTTGGGCAGTATGGCCATTTTCACGATATTGATTATTCCTACCCATGAGCATGGAATGTTCTTCCATTTCTTTGTATCCTCTTTTATTTCATTGAGCAGTGGTTTGTAGTTCTCCTTGAAGAGGTCCTTCATGTCCCTTGTAAGTTGGATTCCTAGGTATTTTATTCTCTTTGAAGCAATTGTGAATGGGAGTTCACTCGTGATTTGGCTCTCTGTTTGTCTGTTATTGGTGTATAGGAATGCTTGTGATTTTTGTACATTGATTTTGTATCCTGAGACTTTGCTGAAATTGCTTATCAGCTTGAGGAGATTTTGGGCTGAGATGATGGGGTTTTCTAGATATACAATCATGTCATCTGCAAACAGGGACAATTTGACTTCCTCTTTTCCTAATTGAATACCCTTTATTTCCTTCTCCTGCCTGATTGCCCTGGAGGCATATGTTTTCAATGAATTGTAGTTTAGTTTTAGTTAAACTGCAGTGGTAATGCAGCAATTTAAGGAGTATTTATGTAGCTTACAGAAAGAACACCCATATAATTTCACTTAATTTTATGCACACTTCCGATACTCATTATTAGTATATCTACCATAAAAAGTAAATGCAATTTGAACTTAAAATACTGATTTTTAAAAAATTAACTTCTGGGCAGCTTTGAGGTTAAAAGCATGAGGCTGAAACTACTGGCAAAAATTAGGTTTGAAACTACAGTTATCTACAGATTTCAATTATATACGCTACCCTTTTCTCCATTACCCCCTAGGAAACTGAAAGTTGAATATATTAACTTGTTATATTATCTTCACTCCAGAAGCTTTTACAGACAAGTTTGAGCTTATCTATTACTTGTGAATTTTAAAAATGTAGACATTATTGCGTTGACATCCTGGTTTCAATACTTGGTAATTTTATCTGTTTCCTCTCTCTCTCTTTCCTCACCAAAACTTTACTGTTCTTTTGCATTCGCCATTTTCAACTCTTCTTGAAGAGAACAAAAAGCTCACTTACCACCTCACCTCCCTTCTACTAAATAAAAAGAAGCAAAACACATCATTTAATTGTAAAATATGAACCTTCATATTTTAAATATTCCTGATTCATTATAAGTTCTTTACTCAGTGTGTCTGCATTCTATTTCAGAGTTCATAAAACTCTGTGTTTTGTATATTCACATTCAAATGTCATCTTAGAATCCTGCTCTTTGCAATCATGAAAAATACCACTTTCCATCTGTCTGGACAAATCAGAAGAATGGATGCTCAAAAGATATTCATAAATGATGAGCTTGCTTCTGCACAACATCATTAAGAAATTATTATACTGATAGAAGGAGACTTTTTGGAGATCCTGAAAAGGCAAAGTTTTATTTGACACCTAATGGACTTCCATTATCCATCGCTATTTTCCTGTTTTCACTGTTTATTCACTGCTCCCCTCCTCATACATTGGCATACAAGCCATGAATTTGTATTTTTAAGTTCTCAAAGCAGAAAATACCAGCTGAAATATTAAACCTGACTTCCCTTGTTTTTGTGATACATGCAGGTGATTCAGCATCAATGGAATGATAAATAATTAAATCAGCACATTTATACAAGAGCAGAGACAGTGGTGACTTGCCAGGGTTAAATTAAATGGTACAAAAATGCCTTAGGGCCATTTTAAACAAGAGATTAAGAAATGCAACCTAAGCCAGCAGGGGAGAGAGACGATGTTTACTTTGTCACAAACATCAAGTAGTATGTCACCTTGAATGCTCTTGCAAGGTTATTTCGGTAACCAAAGACATTTTTAATAAAGCTACCCTCTCCAGTCTATGGGGTGGTTTCTATAAACTTTAGAAATAGGCTAACACTGGATTAGTAATATATTCCATCCCACAAACATTAATTGAGCATCTAAAATATGTCAGAGACTGTTCCAAGTACTGCAGATACAGGATGAACAATCTCTAAAGTAGTGTTTCTTGACACTGGCTGTCTCTAAGGATCACTCTCCTAGGAACCATAAATAATATCAATATATATCCCAGTCTCACCCCATTGAGATTCTGAGTCAATGTATCTGGGGTGGGACTAGGCATCTGAAGTTTTTCAAAGCTCCCTCAGGTATTAAATATTCAGCCAGAGTGGAGAACCATAGGAGGTGCTGGGATCCCAGATCCTCTTAGAGGAAACACAACAGTACAATAACAGTGCAGCAGTAGGACATACAAAATGAGGTGGTGTCTTAAGTGCTCCTAACTTTACCAGGTTAGGGGGTGGGTAGACATCACAGGGACTACATCACAGAATAAGGGACAAGGTAGGCTTCACCAAGGAAGTAATGCAAACATATTTCAGAATTCTAAGTCATTATAGCTAGCTAACAATTTTTGAACACGTATCAAGTGTCAGGTGCTCTTGATGGCACCAGAAGCAGTCCCCAGAAGTAGGTGTTATTGCACACACATTGCCAATAAGAAAACTGAGATCAGGGTGCCTGCTAAAAAAAAAATCACAAAACTTGTAAGTGGCAGGGTTAGAATTTGAATCCAGGCCTCCTGCCTCCAACTCAACACAATTTCTAGGGGGAAAAAAAGTAATGGATTTAGGTGATTTCAAAATTTTAATATTTCCAGAAAAAAAGATGCCAAGAAGGGCTGTCCCTTGAATTGCTGAAGACAGAGTCAGCTTTTATTGCTCGTTTGTCCAATACTATTTTTATATAAAATTTCCTCTGGGGTTTTCAAAATATGTGCATATTTTACTTTCTTTTAAGTTGACCTAGTAGAGATCCAAACACAGCAATGTCTTACAGAAAAGCAATTTTTTCTTTAAATTGAATCCAATCTGTGCCCTGGAGAGATTCAGGGCTATAGTGATCTGCACATGGCATATCTCCATAACACCAGGGCCACCAGTGACTTTCTTGTCCCCCTCTTAGCTAAGCCATAAGCAGAAGGCCCAGGCAGGAGTTAACTAATTAGTCATTTTGTCCCAAATGTTATAAATGGTTGTGCTAAAGCAGCCCAGGTTCACAGTTCTTAAAAGTATTCTTAATATTTCAAAGTGCAGGAAACAAGCTGTATCTTGGTGAAATACCTTTATATCTACAATGCAAACCAGCCTTTCGAGACCTTTTAGGGAACATTTCAATTATAACAAACCTTATCAAATAAGGAAAGGACATAACAGACTAGAAGTAACTGTTTTATTCAATAAGAGGCAACTATATTTCATATCTTTATTAATTGGAGTTTTACATGCCAATAAACATTCTCATCCTAAGATCATATCACTCAGATGTAAGACCTGGATATTTATTTTTTTAGTTTAAGCATTGTTTTAACTCATGATGTTCTCTCTGCCTTAATGTTCCTCTCGGTTCTCCCCTTATTGTACTTTCCTGAAGTTTCTAATTGAATATGTGCTCTCACACATCTCCAAACTATTCCAGACCTTCTTTTCCTCTGCCTTGAGACATTTATATCTCGAGCACATAAACCACCCAGGCACCAAGCAGATATCAGATCTAGAAGGTAGAATTGAAATTTTCCAACAAAGTTTTGGCTGTTGCTTTAACAGGGTTCTCTCCTGCCAACACTGACATCCCTGGACTAAACCAATCTTCACACCTATCAGAGAGGCAAAACTATCAATTACACAAGCACTGTTCTTGTAGGCAAGAGACCAGGATCCTCATTCTTCTTCATTGCTAACTAACCACACAGACATTGGCAAATTACTTACTTCCTCTGACTTGTCTGTCTCCACTGTAAAATTGGGGCTAATAATGCCTTGCTTGCCAAAAAATAAGAAGCTGGTTCAGATAATTTTTATAAGATCTCATCCAGCTCCAAACTATGACCTATATATCTTTCACGGGACCAAACCCTTCTTAGTCTGATGCAAAAAAAACACAGTTTGGGCAAAATGCAGAACTTCATTTGAAAGTGCTGTGAAACATGACAATGGACTGATAGTAACCACCTGATCTAAGTGAGTTAAATATATTGTACTGCTAATCCTTACTCATTATTACAGGTTATGTCCCTAGTCCAAAAATCTAAACTCTGAAATGATCCAAAATCCAAAACTTTTTGAGCACCAACATGATTCTCAAAGGGAATGCTCACTGGAACATTTTGGAGTTCAGATTTTTGGATTAGGGATACTGAGCCAGCAAGTATAAATGTAAATGTTCCAAAATCCAAAAAGCATCCAAAATCCAAAAGACTTCTGGTTTCAAATACTTTGGATAAGGGATACTCAGCTTGTACTGTTAAGATTTCTATGTGCTTATGAAGAATGTACAAGTGTCTGTCTCTTACCTTTTGACTTCCGGTCATGGTATGACCTGCCTCGATACCGAGGGGTGTCCAGATACATATTCTCAAGATCTTCTTGCCATGACTCTGGATTGAAGTACTTGAGCAGATCTTCCACTGTATCAAATTCTGCAATTTTTTTGTCCAGAGCATCCGCAATCAGAGTGGGATCCGTTACTGATGGAGAGTTATAGGATACCCCCTAAGAGTGACATACAGCTCAGTGTACTCAGAATAAGTCCATTGCTGTGAAATACAACAGTCATTCAACTATACGGAAGGAACATAAACAGGCTTCTGAGTATAAGACATCATACGTTTGAATGCTATGTAAAAACAACATGGTATTGTCTTGCCATATTCTTGGATAAAAATCAATTAATTACTAAAAAGATAACATTCGCTTTTTTGTAAATCAAATCCAAGTAGATCAGAAAACTTCCAGTTTATCTTAAGTGTAATCATCTAAAAATATAGAACGAGATAGAAATATATAAAATTAAGTTATCCAGTTTCTTGGTTCATGGTCCCAAATCATCCACATAACAACAAATAATAGTGGGAATCAAAATTTCAAACTCCTTCCACATTAGTTTTGATAATTAATTCCACTCTCCCACTGTTAAGTTCCACATTCCCCCTTTACAGGTCACCTGGCATTGCAGATGATGTGTGAGCAATGTACGAATCTACTCTGGAGACATTTTCATAAAATTTAGCACTTTCACCAACTTATTTACTGTCAACAAAGATAATTAGCCATGAAATTGGCTCTCTTGACTTAAAAGGAGAGGATTCACATGGGGAACATATTTTTTTAAAGTGCTATAGTTTGCTAGTGATCCCAGTTGCCATTAAAACTTCTCAGGAAGACTCTTTAAATGAGAAACACAACATCATTGAAAGCCTGGAAAGGATTATGTATTTTGCCATGGAATACATGGCACATGAGGTTTCCAAGCACTTACTTCACTAACCCTTGTACAATCTAGAGGTAAATGAGCCATGATTCAAACATCTCTGTTAAAATTCATGACCCATTAACAAGGAAATAGAGAGCATACAGCCTCAAATGATTTTTAAATGTCTTTAAAGAAACTACCAAACAAATAAGATTCCCCAAAGGCAAATATCTCCTATCACTAAGGGAAAATAGGAATTAATGAAAACTTGCTTTCCTAAGATTTGACTGTAGTATCTAATCAAGAAAAATTATGTGCTATTGAGTCCCAGACAGCCAAGCCCACAATTTATAACCTTACTCTCAGGCAATGTTGTCTCTCTTTAACCAATCAAGGTCCAAAGGTTGCTAAGTGATTTGATGATCATCTGCTCTCAGAGTAACAGTCCCTCTTCACACAAGTAAGAGGCTTTAAAGCATTAATCTACCATTGGTATAACTCAGGAGCAGTTTTCAAATATTCCCTGTAGGGAAAAGGGAGTCAAGGGAGTTGGGTGAGAGGGTGAAATAGACCGATGAATGTGTCAGGCCAGCTCCATTTTTTTTTTCTTTTACAAGAAACCATACATCTAATTTTCAGTCATCCTTGTTAAAATAAGTTCTGAACAAACCTTTCCTGCCATGCTACATTCATTACCTTATGAGTCCACTCTGTATTCTGTTCAGGTGTATCCAGGTAATAATGATCATTTATCTGGAGGCACGGTCTTTGTCATACATTACGGAAGAATCCAGAGATTTAATCACAGTTCAAGCCATGTTAAAGATGTCCTCTACAGTCATATTGTTGATATTATATAGCTCTCATCTGGGTGCAGCCATATTTGTTCCTTCTGTTTCTGATAGGTTGTCCCTTTAATCTACGTGACTGTGTGTGGGTGTCTGTGTCTGTGTGTGTCTGCTTGATACGAGCTGAACCCTGACTGACACACATCATTTCTGTCTTTCACATCTCTCTTGAGGTCACATGCTAGAGGTGGAAGACTTATAATTCAGGACTATAATTCCAAATCGCCATTAACTTGTATTGTCGGATAATCTACAGTCTATCTGGCTAACATGCACCAGATGGTTTACAAGCAGCCTTGTGTCACAATAGTGTGGTTCTAAGAACCACAAAACTCAAAATGAGCTGACGAAATTAGAAGCATGGCAGCACATAAAAAATCTTTGAAATTAAAATGCTTCCCTCATTTTTGAAATAAAAACAGGGACACCGATCAAGTCATTCCCACGCCAGTGAAAGCTTCTTGTGACAGCTCTGGGGAAAGTGGCTGCATGGAGTTCTCCAGGGTGGCTCCCAGCAGTGCCTAGAATGTAGTGTGTACACAGACATCTCTCTCAGAGAAAGCTGTGGGGAACTCTCAGTCCCTTAGAAGGGAGGGGGAAATTTAATCTCTTCTAACATGAGGCTGAAGAGTCAATCCAAACCATAGGTAAAATGCAAACATGTCCCTATGTATGAGCTTTACTGCTGTTTTCAAGTTTTGATTTAGGGCAGTTGACAGAAACAACAACGACAGCTGAGGAAATATTTATGAATGATGAGGTGACCTAATAAGACTACAAGAACATTTTGGTTTCTGAGGTAAATATTTTAAAACTATTTTTGAGAAAAAGAACTAATTTAATGTGTCTCCTTCAGCTGAACAGTAAATATGATTTCATTCAGCTTTTGTCACGTATTTATAAAAATCAATTCTGAAGTTAACTGCATTAATTTAAAATGATAACAATTTGTAAAAAAGAAATGCTCTGGAAATGCAAAACCACTTTCAACAAAAACAAAGTATGGTTTAAACAGAAGTCAATGGTAGGTCCAATGACCCCTGCTCCTGCTCCAGAAAGTTCTTGAACAATGGAGTGCTGAGTAAAGAAACTAGCTTGGTCTTACAAGAGAGTTAAGCAGCACCTAGACTTGAAACTCAAACGAGAAGCTTTTGCAGTGGATTTGGACCCAGGGAACTTCCCCAGATACTCCAAAAGGATGAGACAATGCCTCTCTTTTAAAGGACCTGGGTTATTCTTAATTTGTTGAAGGTCCTTTAAGGCTTGTAATTCTGTGGTTGGAGCAAGAATCATTAGACAACCCTGAGCTATCATGTCGAAGGTGCCTGAGAAGCTGCAGCATCCCATGACCCTCAGTCAAGGTTGCAAAAACTGCTGGTGTCTGCCTTGAGTTATCAGCCTCTACTGTGACCCTCCTGCTTAGCCTGAGCACCTCTTCAGCATATCTGCCTTGTGTTGACTTTCATCTAATTGATAATGATTGCCTACACCAAGTTAGGTTCAGAGCATGTATTCTGGACTGTTGAAAGCACACAAAACACTTATTATCACTGTCAAAGATCTCTCCAATCTTTTGATCAGATGAGGTTCTAGTCCAGCATCCATACCAGGTGAATTAAATAGCCACATAATTCATAGTGGAGGGAATCCTGCCATATGAAAGAGTTTTTAAAAAATCCTCCAGAGAGCAAAAGATAACATACCAATTTTAGGAAAAAAAACAACAACTCTGACTCAGCCACACGGACCTACTCAGAACCATGGGCAAGCTTTCTCTATGTTCTTGACCTTTTAGTAAACAACTGCATTTATTATCTTGTATTTTATTGCTACATAAGTGCCACACATAGGATTGGTGAAAACAAGGTCTGTTCTTTCTGTGCAAAGTAGATAAGGAGACTGAATACTGAGAAATGACTAAGTTTAGAGAAAAACTGGAGCATGAACCATTTTACAGCTTCAGGGTGAGTTATGTTTTATATCCAAGTAAAATAGAATACATGCCTGATTTGCACTTATTATCTTACTGTAAACATTGGGATTTTTCAAGTCTGAAAAGACCCTTGAAAATGCAAAGGTTAACGTCTTCCCCAGGAATATTCGAAAGCTATTTTGAAATTCCCCACTTGAGTGTGGGCCATGAACTAGTTTGATATGTTTGATATGTTTGGACAGACCTTTAATTGGAATGCTCTGCTCTGAAAATGAAAAATATTTAAGTTATTACCTAGTGTGAGTTCCTACCATGCTATACTGGCAGTTCCTGGAAACATTTCTGACAGACAGGGAAAAGGGTTTCTGACATAATCCATTGTAACCTGAATGAAATGGAGAAACACATCCTGTTTGAGATCTAGCTTTTGATCAAGCCACAGGTCCTTAATGCAGGTGAAGTCCTTTTGGGGTTGACCTTAGCTGTTCCATCCGTTTCTTTTGCTGGCAACAGAGTAATAAATTACTTACTGAAATAGAGCTTGTGACAGATTCCCAGTTGGTCTCTGAAGCTGCTGCGGGTTGGAAATCTTCCTGGAAGGCAAAGAAACATCTGTGAGTCAGTCAAACCTCTGTTCAATTCATTATGTGCACAGTTTCAACATCTCAGCCTTCTGAATCTTTTTCCAACTAAGTGACAACAGACATAGGGCTATATTCCTGCTGAACAGGTCACCATTTGTCTTAAGCACATCTCCTCAAGAACCCTTCTCATTTAAGACATGGACATTTTCTTGTAAGTACTGGTGAAATGGAAAAGGCACAGGAAGGAATGCAAATTTTAACTTGGCCATCTACTGGCTGTGTGACCACAGACAACTGACAACCCCTCCAGTCCTTCCTTTCCTCAGCTAGTATGGAATCCTTACATTATAGGGCTGTTTTAAGAATTAAATGCATTAATTATGTAATTACCAATGGCACTGAATAAAGTGTTTGATAAAGAATAATAATAATTATCATTATTGACATATAGTTGGTTTAAACTAGGTTACGCATTATGTTCAATCTTGCCTGCTGACCTGGTCCAAAATATTGGTGATCTTTTCAACGATACACTAACTTCCAAGGGGTTGTTCCTGACTATATCAACAAATATAAGGAAGGATGGCAGGGGAAGAAAATGACTGGTAGTGACTAAGTACTGCCCATTTGGGGAAGGAAGGTCAAGGGCAGACTTGAAAACATTAGTTATCTCAGATAAGCCTTAGTGGATGTGTGATAGCAATAGATCACACAGAAAAAACTTCTCTTAAAAGGCAAACTTGTCTCCCATTTGTATGTGACCTCCATGTTAATTACTACAGCACCAGGAAGTTTAAAAAACATTAAGGGAAGGAAAACTAATTCTGTCATTTTTACAATCCACAGATGGCTTTCTGACCTTGCTAAAATAAATCACTTTAGCAAATATTTTCCAGCCTTACCGAGGAGTGGGAGGTGTTTTGAGAGGATGCTGAGAAATGTTCAGCCACTCTAGTCTGACAGCTTATTTATCCAAGTATACCTACTGAATGAGAGCTTAGTATCAGGTGTAAATTTCATTAACATTTTGAGGAGCTGGAAGTACATTTGTTAATTGGTTATGATGAGGCTGGTTTATATATAAATTTCCTGTGTTTAATAAAATTTCAGCTGATTACTGAGAGAGAACCGAGTCAAATGCGGGGTTCAAAAAATGAACAAATATTAGAAACTGACTAGATGATGGGTTGATAGGTGCAACAAACCACCATGTATCCCAGAACTTAAAGTAAAAAAAGAAAGAAAGAAAGAAACCGACTAGACATCATTATTTTAGTCACTTTTTTTTTTTTTTTTTTTTTTTTTGAGACCGAGTCTCACTCTGTCACCCAGGCTGGTGTGCAGTGGCGTGATCTTGGCTTACTGCAACCTCTGCCTCCCAGGTTCAAGCAATTCTCCTGCCTCAGCCTTCCTAGTAGCTGAGATTACAGGTGTGCACCACCACACCCAGCTAATTTTTGTATTTTTAGTAGAGATGGAGTTTCACCATGTTGGCCAGACTGGTCTTGAACTATTGACCTCAGGTGATCTACCCACCTCGGCCCCCCAAAGTGCTGGGATTACAGGCATGAGCCACTGGGCCCGGCCTCGTTATTCTAATCTTAATCCTAGGGAAGATAGAAAAGAAGCAGGAAATGTGGTATCTGCACTCTGCAAAACAGAATAGACACTAAAAGGACACTGAATTCCCACAGCGGGAAGATGTGTATAATCAAATGAAGGCTGGCATTTATATGAGTCTTCATAAGTCGGTGAGCACATAAGACTAGGCAAGAAGCCAGAGAGCCAGTGGCTTCTCCATTCCTTGATGAGACTATTGGTGGAGGACATATGCCAGGTATGGTAATGACAGGAGCAATCCTCACATTACAGAATTTTCATTTTCCCTTGTTCATTCAATATTTGTTAATCACCTGCTATTAATACTTTCTGAGCTGTGGGTAGGATCATGAGGAAATAAAAACTATCCCTACCCTCAAGGAATTCGAAACGTAAACACACAAATAAACACGTGCAGTAAACGCATGTGGGTGCTCTGATACCAGTCTACTCAGCATGCCATGGAAGGTAGTAATAGGTGGTTGTACCTGGGGAGAAAGTGGGCTTGAAAAAATTTCACATAGGAAGCTGATTTGTTAGTAGAGTCTTGGAAGATAAATAGTTGCTTCTTGCAGAAAACGCGGGTAGAAGACTCAAAGGGAAAGCAATGCTTAGACAAGGTGAGGAAAGTATACAGAAAAATAAACAACTTACTGGGGAAACTATGAGTCATGTTGGGCATAGTGCGTTTGAGAAGCCTACACTATGTACAGATGGAGATGTTCGGGGGGAAGTTTGCTACATGAGAATGGACCGCATGAGAGAGAATGGACCACATGTGACCTTGAGATATAGATTTGGGAAGTATCAACACAAAAATGCAATTCAACAAAGTAAAGGGTTATGTTGACCATGTGTTAAAATCAGAAGAGGGACAGTTTTAAAATCTTGGAACTGGAAATAGTTTTAGAATTATCTAGTCCAATCTCCTTATTTAAACAATAAGGAAACTGGCCAGGAGTGGTGGCTCACGCTTGTAATCCCAGCACTTTGGGAGGCCAAGGCAGGTGGATCACTTGAGGTCAGGAGTTCAAGACCAGCCTGGCCAACATGGTGAAAACTCATCTCTACTAATAATACAAAAAAAAAAAAAAAAAAAATTAGCCAGGTGTGGTGGCATGTACCTGTAATCCCAGTTACTCAGGAGGCTGAGGCAGGAGAATTTTTAAACCTGGGAGGCGGAGGTTGCAGTGGGCCAAGATTGCACCATTGCACTCCAGCCTTGGCAACAAGAGCGAAACTCTGTCTCAAAAGAAAAAATAAATAAATAAATAAATAAATAAGAAAATGAATGCTTAGAGAGATAGATGATGTGTTCTGTATCATGTACCCATTTTCTGGCAAAGCTAAGGCCACCAAAGCTCATTTCTAAGTAGAAACTGTGTGGTTGGTGACCTTCCACAGTGTTACAGCTGCCTTGGATAATGTGTGTATGGGGAGAAAAACGATGAAACAGTTTCCAAAAGGGGAATCAACAGAGCAGGAAACGCATATAGTTGAAGCTGAGTGCTGGTGGGTGGTTCTATGAGGACACCCTTTGAAGTAGCCTTAGTTATTTAGATTTCATATCTATCCTTAGTAAATTCTGTGATTTCAGTTCATTTCCTTGCATAGACACATGGTAAAAATATTTTGCTAAGATTTTTTTAAGCAGAAAGGGACTTTGGTGCACAAGCCCCTAAACAAATGTTACACAAGAACTTTTAGCTTCTTCACTGTCTGGGCTACAGGATTCCAGTTTGAAATTTTAATAAGAGCAAATGATAAAAGATTTCATTAAGTCCCAGATAAAACATAACTTTATCTTCTCTTAGCAATACAAATGTTAGACACTGAAAAGAAACCAACTTTTGTGTTACTTCAGAAGTTTACCATTACTTATAGATGACATATTTAAATTAAGCTTATAAAAAGGAATGACATCCCTTATAAAAATAAAACACCGAACCTCCAAGGTTTTAGCCCTGAAAGGAGAATCTTGGCAATAGGGAGGATTCACCTGCTAAATCCACAATATGATTATTTCTCATCTCTTCCGCCATAACCTCCTAAGTCCACTTAGAAACCAGCAAGTTTCCCAACTGCCTGTTAGCTCTTCCCCTAGGGTCAGAATTATCTCTTTTAATGGTAAATCAAATCACTTCTGTCGTCTGCTTAAAACCTTCCAATAGCTTTCCATTGCTCTTAGAATTTGGCAAAATAAGATCTGACTACCATTTGCCTCTATGAACTTCTTTCCTCTGGTGTCCTCTGATTTGATAACCTACCTTTCCCACTACCTCCACTCCTGCTACACTGGCCTTCTTTCAGTCCTGCAAATAACACGACAAGCCTCTTCTCCCCTCAGGTTTAATTCACTGCTGTTCCCTGCCTGGATGCACTTTCCCCAAACGCTCCAATGGCTGGCTCCTCATCATTTAGTTCTCTGCTCAAATATCTAACATCTTTGAGCATTCTATTTAAAATACTCCCACTCTTGGTCACTCTATCTACTTAACCTGCTTAATTTTCTTTAAAGCATTTATGGTTATCTGAAATAATTTTATGTTTGTTTTATTGTTGATTGTCTCTTTCCTCAAGTGAAATCACACTCCGGAATGGCAAAGATGCTGTTTATTTGTTCTTTACTCTATTCCAAGTTTCTAGCTGAGTTTTTAGTATATATTCCAATTTCTCTGGCTCCCAGTGTATACATAAGGATAATGATCAGCTGCTACTTGCTAGTAGCAAGCCAGTAGTTTACAGCCAGTGTCCATTCTGACTGGTTGGTCCCTATGCCATACTATTTGTTATATACCCTTAATATTATCCTGAGCAGACTGCTTGATTTTCAACCTCCAGACAAATGCAAAACAAACTCCTTTTTGTGGGTGCTCTCAGCAGAACAGTGCCCTTACCGTTACTTTAAGAAATGCTAAAATAGAACAAACAGTGAATAATCATTTAAAATTATATTAACAGTTTAGTTTACAAAGAAAACATTTCTGTTCTTTGGTATAGAAAACTTACATAAGTGCTTTTCAAGCAATGTCTTATTATTCTAAGAGGAGATAACTCTCTACTAGCTCCTAGAGGCTGGTACACAGCTTTTGACTTCCTCACCTCCTGCTCCTGAACTGTAGTATCTTCCATCCTAAAATAAAGGAGCTGATGTTTTAGTTACTTTGGTCCTATAGTCCATGTAGGGAATCTAGCACTGTGATGCTGTGTGTACCTTACTGTACCTTATAGAGACCATCTGGGGGTCTGATATGAGCAAACTGAAGTTCAGAGAGCCAAATGAGTTGTCCAGCATCTCCCAACTAATTATGACTACAGTTAGGACTAGGACCCAATTAGCTATTGTGCATCTCTTAGTTACATGCTCTTTCCAACCCACCAAATAATGTTATATATCATTGTATAATTATAAACATCTCAATCTGCATTGCCTTAATTAATAAAATTAATTTATACCATTAAAATAATTTATCCTCAGCTTAACTCCTCACATTAAAATAGTTCATAATTATATTTTGGCAGTGAAACTAATCATTTGGCATTTTGAAACAAAGCTCCCTCATTCTCTGCATTTTACTATTAAGCTTTGGAACATAGATATGATTCTCAAATCTTCACTTTCTAAATAGTTTAGGATGCACAGTTTGGTTTCTATGAGAAAAGTGTTACAGACTCGAAAGTTAGGGAGATGTGTACAAATAAAATCTTAAAGTGCTACATGAAAACACAGATAAATATTTATGTAAGTGTAGTGTGGAAGAGATATTTCTAAGCATAAATGCTAAAGTCAGAAAGCATAAAAATCGATACACCTTATATAACATTTTGTATATATACAAGATGTGTACATACAAGATGTATATATACAAAATGTATACATACAAAATGTATATATACAAAATGTTATATAAATCTAAAAGAGATCAAAAACAAAAGTAAAACCATAAGGACAAGCTAGTAAACACACTTGTAACAGATATAACAGGTAAACAGTTAACATCCTTAAAATAAAATGAACTCATAAATCAAAAGCTTATACAAGAGTATGTTCCATATCATACAATATTGCTAGAAAAAAATGTACAGATATATGAATGAAGCAGGACTGAAAAAGTATTCACAAAATGTTGATATTGGTTAGCACTGACATATTCTTATTTTCTTCTTTTTGTACACATGTTTTAAAATGTCATAGTAAACATCTAGTTTTAGTAAAACAGTAAATTTCTAAAACTACAATGGAAAAGAAAAAATGGACTGGATGTGTGTACACATATTACATATTAATATGACAGACAAGACTTTAGGGGTAAATGATCACAAATCATTTATCTGTACTTAGCACAAATCAAGAAGGTTTATTTATCTCATAAAGAGGATTCTTTATAAATGAAAAGAGGAATTATTCAACATTTATGATATCATTTATTGAATGGTGTCACCCATGTATTCCCTGGTAGGAAATAAAAGTGTTCTTGTAGATACGTTTCTCACCAATTGCTAAAAGAGAATTGTTCAAAGACTGGACTACAAAGCGTTCTAGCATGGTCACATTTGGCTCTACTAAAACATGGCTAACACAACACAAACTTTTAATGTCTTTAAAAGCAGCTATGAAAACATGCAATGAACCATCAGCTCAGGGTCAGTCAGGCATTTGTCAGGCTCAATTTGAGAACAATTTACCCACTGAATTGTGCTATATGGCTGAAAGCAAATATAGCTGGGGCTATAATAACATTACAGGTAATAAATGTTGTCAACAACAATCCTTGCTATTAAAGAATAAGATATGAGTGGGAATTTCCATTTTCAGAAAGGGTTTCTCCAGAGAAACTTTCTTTTCAGATTCCTTACCATTGGATATCTTGGGCCCATGCCAGAGAGGACAGTTGATATATTACAAGCTAACAAACAATCCACTCATTCATTCAGCAGAGCAAGCCTGCACATATTCAACCACGTACTGAGCACCAGCAATGGATGTCCAAAGAAATCCCTCTCCTGTCCCTTGATACCACGTGGAGCTAGAGACTCTTGTCCTTTAAGTCTTTGCAGACAGCTGTTCACAGACCAATACTTCAAACATTTGGGATGATTAGTTGTACCACCTGTTCCTGGATCTCACGGAGGGTGGCTGTTCATTTTTATCCTAGGTGATTATGCTTTATTTGAGTAGATAAGCCATAAACTATTCATGGCTAGAGGGATGTGTTTCACCAGCACTTAAAACATATGCAGTTACTTGGGAGTTTTTAAAAAGCTTTCAAATAAAACAATCTTTAACTTACTAAGGATGACTTATTTGGGGAAAGTTTTAAAAGACATTTGTCAGTGTATTTTCTGTCATTCTGAAAAATTTTATTCTATTTGCTGCTTTATATTCACTTCTCAGAGGCAGAAAATAAAGAAATCCCTCTCCTAATTGTATCTGTGCTTCTTGATTGAGTTAATGCTTAGAGCTTTTGAATTTCTAAATGCTTAATGCTTTTGAATTTCAAAAGAAACACCTCTAAGCATTCAAAAGAAAGACAAAGGGGTTTGTTAAGATTCATAAAACAGTAATGAGGCCGGGCGCGGTGGCTCACGCCTGTAATCCCAGCACTTTGGGAGGCCGAGGCGGGCGGATCACGAGGTCAGGAGATCGAGACCATCCCGGCTAAAACGGTGAAACCCCGTCTCTACTAAAAATACAAAAAATTAGCCGGGCGTAGTGGCGGGCGCCTGTAGTCCCAGCTACTTGGGAGGCTGAGGCAGGAGAATGGCGTGAACCCGGGAGGCGGAGCTTGCAGTGAGCCGAGATCCCGCCACTGCACTCCAGCCTGGGCGACAGAGCGAGACTCCGTCTCAAAAAAAAAAAAAAAAAAAAAAAAAAAAAAAAAAAAAAAAAAAAAACAGTAATGAACAAACACATGATCAACATCCATTCTTTCAACAAATTCTAAGTTTGTTCATGACACTCTGCTCTGTTCATGACCCACTGAGGGAAATCCAAATAAAGCCAAACTTGGAGGCCTGTGTCCTGGGATTACTCTACAGGGAGATCCTTTTGAATAAAGGCTTTTGATGCTTCAGTACCTGATTTTCTGGCATGCAGACCCAACAATGTTTGTGGAAATGATATTACACTAATGTCTTAACGTCTACAGGAATAGAATAAAGCAAAAATTAAAAACCCTTAGAATCAATAAAACTCTGTAGCCCAACCAAAACTTAACAAGTATACTTTCTTTACAGACTCATCATCAAACTAGCTCTTCTACACATAATATGGTAAAGGTCTTGGCAGGAGGCCAGATTTTATTGGCAAGAATATTTAATACAAGGATATCAAGAGTCTAAGAATCAATAATTAACAAGAATCAAAGAATATCTCTCAAAGTTAGAGAATTTGCCTGTGAAATTTAATAATATATGTTTCTTAGAGTTACAAGAAGCCCTGGATAGGAGCTTTCTGTTATAGTAAAAATATCTTTAATTAAATAAATAAATTTTAATAAGAAATATAGATAAGACACACAGATTTTCACTGATTTAAGAGTTAATTTTATAACATTTTCATTTATCATTATTGACAATCAAGTACAATGTTTTAATTTAGAACTGCTAGGATTCATTAATCAATCATCCACGTAATCTTGGTGCTAGTGTCAAGATATTTTTAAAAGTTCATTTTTCTTCCTACATTATGAGAAAAGGAAATTTTTATACTTGTTAGTTTCTGATTTCTTCAGACTGAACTTAGTTTGGGAATTTTTTTTTTTTTTTTTAAGTTTTAAGGTACATGTGGACAATGTGCAGGTTAGTTACATATGTATACATGTGCCATGCTGGTGTGCTGCACCCATTAACTCGTCATTTAGCATTAGGTATATCTCCTAATGCTATCCCTCCCCTCTCCCCCCACCCCACAACAGTCCCCAGAGCGTGATGTTCCCCTTCCTGTGTCCATGTGTTCTCATTGTTCAATTCCCATCTATGAGTGAGAACAGGCGGTGTTTGGTTTTTTGTCTTTGCGATAGATTACTGAGAATGATGATTTCCAATTTCATCCATGTCCCTACAAAGGACATGAACTCATCATTTTTATGGCTGCATAGTATTCCATGGTGTATATGTGCCACATTTTCTTAATCCAGTCTATCACATAAGGACATTTGGGTTGGTTCCAAGTCTTTGCTATTGTGAATAGTACCACAATAAACATACGTGTGCATGTGTCTTTATAGCAGCACGATTTATAGTCCTTTGGGTATATATCCAGTAATGGGATGGCTGGGTCAAATGGTATTTCTAGTTCTAGATCCCTGAGGAATCGCCACACTGACTTCCACAATGGTTGAACTAGTTTACATTCCCACCAACAGTGTAAAAGTATTCCTATTTCTCCACATCCTCTCCAGCACCTGTTGTTTCCTGACTTTTTAATGATTGCCATTCTAACTGGCGTGAGATGGTATCTCATTGTGGTTTTGATTTGCATTTCTCTGATGGCCAGTGATGGTGAACATTTTTTCATGTGTCTTTTGGCTGCATAGATGTCTTCTTTTGAGAAGTGTCTGTTCATATCCTTCACCCACTTTTTGATGGGGTTGTTTTTTTCTTGTAAATTTGTTTGAGTTCATTGTAGATTCTGGATATTATCCCTTTGTCAGATGAGTAGGTTGCAAAAATTTTCTCCCATTTTATAGTTTGCCTGTTCACTCTGATGGTAGTTTCTTTTGCTGTGCAGAAGCTCTTTAGTTTAATTAGATCCCATTTGTCAATTTTGGCTTTTGTTGCCATTGCTTTTGGTGTTTTAGACATGAAGTCCTTGCCCATGCCTATGTCCTGAATGGTAATGCCTAGGTTTTCTTCTAGGGTTTTTATGGTTTTAGGTCTAACGTTTAAGTCTTTAATCTATCTTGAATTAATTTCTGTATAAGGTGTAAGGAAGGGATCCAGTTGAATCAATATCGTGAAAATGGCCATACTGCCCAAGGTAATTTATAGATTCAATGCCATCCCCATCAAGCTACCAATGACTTTCTTCACAGAATTGGAAAAAACTACTTTAAAGTTCATGTGGAATCAAAAAAGAGCCCGCATCGCCAAGTCAATCCTAAGCCAAAAGAACAAAGCTGGAGGCATCACGCTACCTGACTTCAAACTATACTACAAGGCTACAGTAACCAAAGCAGCATGGTACAGGTACCAAAACAGAGATATAGATCAATGGAACAGAACAGAGCCCTCAGAAATAATGCCGCATATCTACAACTATCTGATCTTTGACAAACCTGAGAAAAACAAGCAATGGTGAAAGGATTCCCTATTTAATAAATGGTGCTGGGAAAACTGGCTAGTTTGGGAATTTGTTCTCGATATAGTAAGTAAAGATTAGAGCAAATCCCAGTCCAGCAAGCTGAGAAGAGAAGGGGGTCATTGATTTAAAAGGGGTCATGAGAATGATATTCAAGAACTAGAGAGGATCAGCGTGTTTGCAGATAGAGAGAGGGGTGCCGCATACCAAGGGGCTGCACAGAAAGTTGCAAATTGCAAAATACTACTTTGTTAATAGCTTCCATGGTGTTTGGTCATACCATGGTGTTTGGTGTATGGTGTTGGTTCACCAACCTCCATGGTGTTTGGTAAGTGAACATTTAATTTACACCTAGAGAAATACTACAGTATTTCTACAATCTGTTGCCGAAGAGCTAGGTTCAGATTTAAATTTTGTGACTAGTTGTTTAGCATTAAAAAAAAAAACTCTGTGATTAATTATTTTGCAGTAACGCCTGCCACTTATGGAGCACAGATTTTATGCCGGTGACTATATGAAATACTTTCCATAAATTATCTCATTCATCATTTCTACAGTAGCTTTAAAAGATGAGGAAGCAGAAAGACAGGATGCAAGCCCTATTATTAAGGAAGTGCCACAGATACCTGAAACCGTGGCTGAGTCTCTGTACTCTTTCATCTTTGTTGAATAATTCCTCTTTTCTTTTATAAATAATCCTTTTTATAAAATAAACGAATCTTCTTGATTTGTGCTAAGTTCAGGTTTTCATAAATTCCTTAAATGCATTTCAAAGAGAACATCTGATTCAATTCACCAGTGGTCTGAAATTTATTAAAGATTGTACTTTTGATATTGCTAAGCTAATCTTAAAGATTGTTTATACCAAGCTAAAATGAATGACTTAGGAAATTATTCCTGCACCTTAGGAAAATTACAAGTTTGAAATGAAGAAATACTGACCTGATTCATATTTTCATTTTCTTGCAAGCACAGTGCCTGGTACATAGTAAGCACTCTTTTTTGTTTGTTTGGTTTGTTTTTATTATTGTGGTTAAGAGAGGAAATACTGTTTCATGCTCAGAATTCAACAAACCATTTCACGCCTCTGTGCTGAAATTCACACTCCCAATAACTGCTAAATTTCTCTGTACTTGACTGACGTTATATAAATAGATTTTCTTCATGGTGGCCAAAAGCTAGTTACATTATTAAAACCAGTAATTAGAGAAAATGGGAATTACAAACAGTATGAAGATTAAGGCCATGTCACCAAAATCCCTTAGCTAAAATCATTATCTCTAAAAACTCAAATTATTCCATTACTAATTAAAACTCCTAAGATCTGACTTTAGGGAGAAAATACCATTTGAAGTCTAAAAGCCAAAGCCACAGTCAACACAGCTGGTACGGTTCCATGAAAAAGAGCACTCATGAAATGTTACTCAGCAAGTGATGGGATTATAATGTAAACGGGAACATTTTCTAAGAGAATCAGGAGTGTCAGTTGTAAAGTATTAAAAAAGCTGTCCATTCTTTTTAAAAATATGGGTATTTCCTAGTGAGGTGACTTTGCGTTGTGACACCTTTTCCCTCTACACATTCATCCTTATCCTTACACTGGACCAGTGTTCATTCATCAGAGCTGCCACCCATCATAATTATCATTTGGCACTATGGGCCATACTGAATATAAAATATTTAAGAGTCATGTTACTACTATACAGCTATGTAAATGAAAACAAGTAATTCAAAGTACCTTTTTCTTGACCTGACTTCTTTCTAAGGGGATTTCCAGAGTCATTTATGTGGTTAAACTAGAGAGATGGTTAATGTAAAGTCTGAAACAAAAGCATAGGACTCATACCCTTGCAAATTACTCTTCTCACAAAAGGGGAGATTCGTATATTCTTGACTTTGTACTTCCTCTTTCCACTCCCCACTCAACTAGCAACTAACTAAGGCAGCTGGCACATTTTGGATCTCCAAAGCAGGCTTGCTATCTGGGCCCATTAGGTGAACTTGTTGGAACTGAGTGCCAAGCACACAGGTCGTGAGTTTCAGACTGTGCTAAGTACAGGTTTTCATAAATTCCTAAGAATTTATGACAGAGCTGATAAAACTTTACAAAGAGAAAAAATACTGTTGCCAAACACCATGGTTAACATCAGTGAAAGAGACCTCCTGGGGGCAACTGCCTGACTCAGTCCATAGGACTTCATCCCTCCAAGTAAACAACTTGAAGTCTTCTCCTCCAGGCTGGGAGGATCATTTTGGAATAGGATAAATGGTAATTAAATGAGAGATCCTGCAATTTAATTTCTATTAGTTCATGCGTATGGGCATTAAAAATTCCTTTTTACTTTTGGTTATCATCAGTTAACAGGAACATCTTTTACTTTGACCAGTTATTACACTAGCAATATTCATCAGCAGTTTTATGAGTGAAAACACTAGGCTTTGCACAGCAAAATTTTAATCCCAGATTGGTTCTTCTTTGCATCTTGCTATAATTTTTTGTACCGTTACATCTGTGTACTTAGAGAATGCAAATTTACTGCCATATTCATCCAAACCAAATACAATTACAAAGGTATTTTTGGTGCCAAAAAAAGGATAAACTGCATTCCAGAGTGAAAGGAAAAATAGGGATTGGGTGAACTATTGCTTCTCCTCTACTGGACTGGGAAAATTCAGAGCTGACTAGGTTATTGCCCACGCCCAAGGATTAGCTGAGATATTCTTTGGACATGGATTTTTTTTGGCAGGCCTCATGCCTCACACTTACACTTTAAACTGTTATTTACTTATGTATTTATTTTTTATTCTTACCAGTTTGGAAGTTGCAAGGGATCTCATAGACTACTGAGTTCAAAGTTTTATTCACTATTTGACTGAGATTTTTGAATGACCAAAGTATGTAAGTCATTGAGCAAGGTGTTGGCTAATGCATGGATGCACAGGAAGCAAAATTGACCTTAAGAAATGTGTTGTCTAGATTAATTCTAATGTCCTACTCTTGTCATTCCTTTTTGTATCAGCAACTTTAAGTTTTTTAATGGCTTACCATTATCTCGAATTATCTTGTGTCTTAGTCAGTTGGAGCAGCTAGAACAAATTCCCATAGGATATGTAACTTGTAAAGAACAGAACTTTATTTCTGACAGTTCTAGAGGATGGGAAGTCCAAGACCGGAGTGCTGACATGGTTGGGCTCAGGTTTGCAAATGGATGTCTTCTTGCTGTGCCCACACATGGTAGAGAGAGAGAGAGATCTTTTCTCTCATGTCTCTTCTTACAAGGGCACTAATCACATCAAGATGGCTCCACCTTCATGTCTTATTTACCTCCCAAAGGCCCCACTTGTCAATACCAACAGAGTGGAGATTAGGATTTCAACAGATGAGTTTAGGGAAAACCCTCACATTCAATCCATAGCATCTTATTCACTTATTTCTGTACTTGTTTCCAGGTTTGTGTCTCTCCATTAGGGTGTAAGCTCCTTAAGGGTGGAAATGTTTTCTAACTTTCTCATTGCTCTCCCACCAAGTACCTACAACAGGGCCTGTTAACCTTTTACATTCAATAAATAGTGTTGCAATGGAAGAATGACTAGTCATTGAATTGCTGTGAGATTCAAATGAGATGAGTAATGTAAAGTCATAGCATATTGGCTGTTACATAGCAGATGTTAATAAATATTTGTAGAATGAATAAATGAATAATCCAATCTATAGAAATAAATGCTCTACTGGGGCCATAAGCAAAGCCCCATAGTTCTACAGGAGAAAGAATGATTTAAGTACATTTAGGAAGGCTGGAGGAAGGTCTCAGAAGAAGTGGCCTTGGAATTGACTTTTGTATGATAATTAAGGATTTTGATAGGGAAGCAGGCAGGTGAAGGAGAAAGCATGCACTAAGGCAGAGACTGGCATCATCTGGGATCTGTGAGTATGTCATGTGCCCAAAGTAACAGACAGGAAATTAGACTGACAAAGAAGGTACAAGACAAATCAGAGGATCCTGAAGACCACACTTGGGATTTTTTCTTAATCATCTATTCAGCGATTCATTTAATCATTTGTTCAACAGGTATTTATGGCTTCCACTACTACTGACTACACAGTTCAAGGTACTGGAGAAAAAGAAACAAAAAGAACTTCAACGTCACTGCTCTCACAGAGCTGTCATCCTGATCACCCTTTTCCTACATACAGGAAACAGCCCCAAAGGGTTAAGTGTCAGCGTCACTTGCCAATTAGTGCCTGCAGCCCAGGTCTCTTGACATACTGTACTGCATTACACTAAGTTGTAGGAAACTGGTTGTTAATATAGCCACATCTTCACCTCCTCTGCTCACATGTCTCCTTTTCAGTGCATATGAAAAATACAAAGAACATTTTTTTATAATCTGGAATTCAGTGAACTTAAGTAACATAATGGGGTTCCTAGGAAACCAACAAGAAACAACAGATAGCTATTCAGGGAAATGAGGGTGGTGGAAAAAAATTGAAGACAAGGAATTCGGTGCCGTTGGTTTGGAAAAACTTTTTGAAATGTCCATAATACTTTAAGGCAATCTTAGAATTAGGAGTCATTCCTTATTTTGGTAATCAAACCCCTCAAATGATAATAACATTTTCCACTCAAATACAATTTAGTCCTATCTTATCCCTCAGCAGGGTACAAAATTACCTTTCTTTTTCAAAGAAGAGTTAGAATGTTTTCCTGATCAGAGGATTCAATAGATGAGAATCCCTTAAGTACTTTATGATGACCCTTGAGGTTGGTCAGCAGGAATTGATTTGGAGGAATTACTAAAAGCTATGTCTAAACCCAGCAGGGATCATAAAGATGCTTGAATACAAATGGCCCTGGATGGCTTTCATCAAAGGATCTCTGAGTACAAACAAAATAAAAGCAAACTCCATGCCTGTAAATGAAGAGGAGGCAAGTTGAGAAACTCTTTTGCTACTTATCTTGCTAATATGAAATATCCTGCACTGTTTTGGATGGTAGAAAAGATTTGATAATCACCATGTGAAAACATTTTTAAAAACTGATGTTGGAGACAGAGCACTCAATTGAATTACATATGGAACACCGACTGTGTGACCTTAGGCAAGGTAAAGCCTCTATGCTTTAGATTCCTGATTGTAAACTGGGAAAAATATCTTCTTTCCTCCATAGGGTTAGTTTGAGGAGTAAATTAGATAATTCACATGAAACTATCTGGCTCAGGTAGACATTCATTACATTCTTTCCAAAATGAGTACAATCTTTCTAACATATTATTTTTTTTATTTGAAAGATGGCTATATTAATACCTCCACAGAGATGGAAATCACCTGTTACAAATTCTAGAGTCAGACTCTGCATGCAAATTCCAACTTCTCCACTTACCAGCTAGAGATCTTGTACCAATTACTTAATTTCTCTGTACCTCAATATTCTTATCTGAAAATTGAAATAATTCCTACATCAGGGGGCTGTTTTGAAGATTAAACACTTCGTGCTACCTGTAAAGCTATTAGAAAAGTGCCTGTCACATAGAAAGTCCTTAGCCTTCACACATTTTCACATTTTTTCCTTGGAAAAAATGTTGGTTGGTGCATCAAACTTACAATGGCCTAATGTACTATCACCTAGAATGTGCACTAAGATTTTGAAATTTTCTGAAAGCTTTAACACCTCCTATCTCATTTCACTCTCCCTATCACTATATGAGCTGGGTATAGGCACAGATACATTAGATAAAATAGTTTGGGTCTTCTCAAAGAGGAGATTTTTCAGGTTTCCTGGCTGGTCATTTCTATCATCATTAGATAAAAGAATGTGTAATTTCTTCTCGAGTTTTTTTCCCTGGGGAAAAAGGAAATGGCAAACAGTCCTTCACCACCCCATAATTATCTACGATATCGTTCGTACAAAAGTAGTTCCTCATCATCCCCAGCAAAGTATTGAGTGCCTACCCATTGCTAGTACTGTTTTAGGCATTGGGCATACATGGGAAACAAACCAAACAGCCGATTTGGCATGTGAAATGGGAACAGGCATATATAACAGTACTTTACTGGCTGTAAATTACCATCTATATATCTAAAGTACTGTTTTATTTAATATAGTCTTCAAAATGTCAAATAAAACATCTTAAGAGGACAAGACCTTTCTTTAGAAATAAAGAAATTTAAAGATAAAAACAATCTATGCATATGCTAGCTAATTTATGCAGGAATTTAGCTTGTTCTTGGACTGAGTCATCTTTTATCCAGCCTCCTATCTCTCGGTAAAATATTTCTACATCCCAATTAATTACTGCTGTTTCTAACTCATGAATTAAAATTTGTAATTTGGGGGCTATAAGACACTTTACAAATCATTTACCAATGCTTTCAACTTAGAGGTACTGTGTCGCCCATCTCTATGACATTTAGCCTTCTAGAGCTTCTCCCTAGTGCCCTCCCTCTGGGAGGGGTTTACTTCTTGCTCCCATGATGGCAGGCTTGGTCATGTGATTTGCTTTGACCAACACAATGTAAGTAGAAGTGATCAATGTCACATTTGACCAGAAGCTTTAAAACATATTGTATGTACTATCATTGCTCTTTTTTTTCTCTGTTATAATAATAGCTTGTCCCAGAAGGGAACTGATTCTTCAGCCTGGATTTCCAACTGAAGAAGCTACATGCGGCTCAGCTACAGGTGATTAGCAGCTGATATGTAACATGAATGAGAAACAGACCTTTGTTTCTATAAGTCACTGACATTTCAGGGTTGTTAATGCAGCATAACCTAGCAAACTATTGCTATTTCAGAAATCAGTGTCCAGAGCCATTTTCCAATGAGGCTGCTTCTAACTCATGAGAGAGCCAGGACTAGATCCCATGTCTCCTGCCTTAGTCCAGATTTTGTGCACTCTAACATATGCTTTAAGAAAAGCAGGTCCTTTTCTTGGTCACACATTTTCTTTTCCTTCCCATATCCCCTAGTGGCAAAATGTGAACACTGCCCTACCTACCCTGTGGCACCCTTCTAATCTCTATCCAACCCTAATAAAAGGAAAACCACTTTGGTTCCAGAGACAATGGATCATTTGGGAGGGCTGAGGTGCTGTCCTCTGTGAGGTGCACAGGGAGCAGGTGAGGTCCACACAGAAGACAGAATAAACAGTAGTACTACTGGTCCAGGTAGGAGTAAGGTACTCATTTACTTTGAATCCAAGTGCTACTTCAAAAGGCATCAAAATATTTGTGCTCTGAGCTATTAGATAGTTGAAGTACAGGTTAAACTTTTCATAATATTCCAGTCAGTATCATTTCAGGTGATATTTATATTTTAAAAAGATGGAAGTAGTCCACAAGGTAGTGGAGTGGGGAAAGGGTAATCACATACTAGATGTATTTGATAAACAGTAATTCTTCTTTCAACATAAGATCAATAGCATGAGTATAGGTTCCCTCAAGAAACACTCTTGACATTTAAAATAAATCCTCTGAAAAGGAAAACTTTTTATTTTATGTGAAATGATATGTAGACCTTGATATACAGCCACTGAACAACATTCACTCTGCTCTCTCTGCATTTGACGTGAGAAGCCAGGGGAAACTTATCAGTTAAGACGGCTCTTCAATAGCCATCTTTTCAAGTACTATTTTGAAGCTACAGTAAACATATACTACCTAACCATAGGATCTTTCCTTTTACATAATGGATTCATTTAGAGAAGATGTTAAGGGACTTAAGTGAGAGAAGACGTTAGAGGTCATCTCGTTAATAGTTGTACAAAATGCAACAATTGTTTATCATCATCAAAAGTGGTCAGCCAGGTGCTGTATCTTTATTTTCAGCTGCCAAAGCTCTATTTTAAAGTAAATCCAGCAGCTGTAAAAATTCCCCCTTGACATTTGAATTAGATGCAAAGTTCTGCACAATATCGTGTGCACTGCTATGTTAACAGGATATGTATGGGTAGAAAGAATACAATTGATATTCAAAGCTCTTGTTTACATGTAGAAAAGAGCACAGTACTCAAGGCAAGGGCAGCAGAGGGTTGGGGTTGGGTAGAGTTCATGGTCCAGCTCACAACGTCTATCACATTCACATACTGACCATGGTAGACTTGATCTGAATGTGCAATTCATTGCCCTTGAGAGGTCCTATCATTCTGACTGACAGGTTTAGAGGAGGCCTCCTCAACAACAGGAACACCTGCACTGAGCAAAATGGAAAACCCTGACACTTCGACAGCCTCTTGATATCCAGGTTGTGGGAAAGAAAAGCCTCTTCCATGAAGCAGATGAGCGAGGAAGCAGTGGTGGCACATGTCCCTGGTCTAGGGCTTTCTCTTCCAGGCCCAGATTCAGCAAGTTGACGGCACTGGGGGCCCCTGCCTTTGCCATTTACCTATTTCCAAATAGGACAAGGAAAAGGAGACTTATTTCATAACTCCTTATGTTGTGGGGAGAGAACTGTGTAATAACATTTAATATATAAAAGCCAAAAACTATTTGGGTCAGGCAAAAAACATCTAATTAGAGTCACTCTATTCCCAGTATGTTTCAGATGTTTCCTGATTAGTTATGGAGGACAGAATGTGGGTGGAGGAAGAGGGAAGAAGGACTGTTCAAAACACAAGAATACTGCATTTAATCACAGTGTCAGATAATGCTGGGTTAAGAAAGCTAGCTATTTGCTTTACTGATACTTTCTGTGGCTCCATTCATATTTTCTCATTTCTCCTCAAAAATGACAGTCAATTTCTACAGTTGTTATTCAGCCAATGCATATATTAGATTTCATCAAGATAAATAAAAGAAAAACATCCCCAATAGTCCTGTGTGGAGAGAGGAAGATACTATCTTTTTAAGAGCAACAACAACAAAAAGCACCATAAACTTTTATAGAAGATAAGAATATAAGGTAACAAGAATCTCTGCTCTCAAGAGAGCGCTGCATTATCCTCTGCCAACTTCTTAGTTTACTGATGGGATCGAAAGCTGATGATTTATTGTAAACGGTAAAGAATATTGCTTTTGGGAGCTGTTTTAGCCTGGACTCCATATTCTCTTCAAAAATAAAAAGGAAACTTTAAATTGGATTTCTGACATTGGTTGTTTTCAGCCCAAAATCTATTAAGTAGATTAATTTTAAAATGGGGCACCATGGGCACAATATCACTTCCAAGAGGCTATTGCTTTGTGATGCCTTCTAGACAGACCCCTGAATCGCTGCAGGCACAATCCTGATAACCCTTGATGCTTTCACTGACCACTCACTCTTCTCTCCTGTAACCAAAGCTTTATTCTCCCCAGAAAACAGTGCTTCCCCTGAGGCCTACCAAATGAGAGCTCACACTCTGAAAACCCGGCTAGGCTGAGGAAAAGTGAGGGCGGGGTGCCTCTCTTCTGGCTTCATTCAAGCACTTTCAAACCATTGATATTTTTAGTCTAATACTTTCATATAACCCCAAATATAAAAGCTATGAAAGGGATGCCACTCAGAGGCAATCAACATTATTGGTTCCTTACATGTTCGTTAAAAGATATTGTAGGCATATAAAGGTAAACTCATACACAGATACTTCCTCTCAAACTCAGGCCACTCAACTATTATTCCCTGTTTTCACTCTGTATATTGCTTCCTTTCCTGAAGTCCTGGTCATTTCCCCACATTCACTAAGGACCATGTCAACTGGGTTCCTATATTTGTCTCCACCCCTTGTTACCATCATTCTGGATAATGTCAGTGTCCTTGGTTTGCAGCCCTTTGAATCTTTGAACTCAAATAACCCTTCTTATGTACCCCAACTTCTGCAACTCCCTCTTAATCTGAAGTCTTAGATGCAAAATGCATTCTGTGACTCTGCTCTCCATATCGTTGTGTATCTCTCTTGCTAATATCTCTCTCTTCGATCTCACTGAGCCCTCCAGACTTCACCCCTCTATATTCCCACAAGTTATCAGCCTTCTATTGATCTTAGAGGCCCCCAAATTCATCACTTTGGCTTCTCTTATTAATACTCCCTTGCCACCTGGCTGTTCAGTGGCATTCACCCTTCAAAACCCCTTCTCTAGAACAATCAAGTCATCAACATCTGGACTCCTCCATCTGGATTTCTGCAGGAGAAAAATTACAAACCCAATAAACTGTGTTGCCTTTCTTCCACCCATATCTTTATTCTCTTCTTGTTTGTCCCTTGCAATCTCTTTAAAACTGTTTGTCTCTACCATCTTAAAATATTTCCTTGATTCTAACCTTCTCTCTAGGTATCAATTATTTAAATCCTTGACCCTTTACACTCAAGCTTCTTGAAACAGTTTGTAATTGTTGCTTACTGCAATTTTGATTACTCTTCATCCCATGGCAGCCTGGTTCTTGCTCCACCACTGTGATGTAAAGACTCTTACTAATATTTGTAATAGCCTCTGAATTGCCAAAGCCAACGCAACTTCTAGCCTCTGTTTTACGTGACGTCTTTCTTGCGTTAACATTGTTGATGACTCCCTCCTTAATGCCCCTCTCCCTTGGCTTCTGTAATATTATGCTCTGGTGTTCTCCTTTTATCTCTCTATGTCTTCTCTTGAGTGCCTTCTTTTAATGTCTTCTCGAATTGTCAGCATTTCCCAGCACTCTGTTACTCAATACTTGGCACCTGAGTAAACTCACTGACTTTTCTGGCTTCAGCAATAATTTATACATGAATGATGTCTGTCTCCATATCCCAGGTCAAGAAATCTTTACTGAGATCAGATCGTTTTCCCAAATTCCCTCTGGCCATCTCCTACGGGACGTCTGATAAGCTCCTTAAACTCAACAGGTCCAAAGTATTATTATCAAATTTTCCATAAAACCTACTCATCGTCGTCCTGTGTTCCCTTTCACAGAAAAATACCTTACTCTCTTCACCGAATTGTGCATATCCTACACCTGAATATCAAAGTAAAATATTCCCAAATTAATCTCTAAATCCTTCAGGTTATAATTTCTTAATCCTTCAAAGCCATATCTTCTAGTCTATGCTTCAATTCAAGGGTTCGTCATGTCTCTTTTGGATTGCTATGACAGCCTCCTAAATAAACAGTCTTTCTCAATTCTTGCAGAGCTGTAGTCGCCTTCCATTGGCCTGCCATATTGGTCTTCAAAAGCAAAATCGAAACATACAGCATTATACTACCCATGTAACTTCCAAGCCCCACATCTTTCAGAGTTTTGCAACCCTTTGATAAGCACGTAAAACCCTCATGATCTGGCTCCTGTATTCCTCTCCAACATCATTTCCAGCCAGTGGCTCATGTTTCTCCAGGCTTTCAGAATTACTTTATGCTTTGTCAGCTCTCTTAAATTTGCATAGGCTATTCTCTTTGCATGGAAAGTTCTCCCAACTCTTTCCCATTTATCTAATTCCACTTCATCATTTAGAACACAAATGAAACCACATCCTTTGAGAAATATCTTTAGGTCTGATGTAGATGCTCCCTTCTCTGTGTCTCCACAGTATACAGAGACTTTCACAGTATACTTTTTCATCAACTTTCATGCTTACGCAGCTGCCAGTATAGTGCCTGGTAAATATTGGGCTCTTGATAAAGAATGAATGAGCTCCTAGGGCATGTTGTGACACATTCTCAAATTCTTAATGAAGATCTATTATTAGCTAGAAATTTAATTACTATATTCAAATACCATATTTTCAGGTGGTGAACTCACCTCTTTTTAAAACCATCTTTATTCATATAGGTGGCTTAAAGTGAAATGTTGGCTTAAGGGTTACTATTATTTCTATTCTTATACATTTCTAAGTGTGTGACAACTCAAGGTTCTATAAAACTACTTCCTTGGCAGAAAGAGAGAAGTTACTATTTAGTTTTACACCAAGCCTGGTTTTTTTTTTTTTTTTTTTTTTTTCCTGGAAGTGGTTGAGGTATCACCCTTAACATGAATGTTAAAAAGTCCTGGGTATCAGGCAACTTATTTATTTTAGGGCTGTGTGAAAATAATATCTTCTCTATATTTTTGTCCTGTGATATGTTAGAGCTACTCCTTCAGGGGCTTTTAATATTAAAATTCAAGATATTGCAATGATTTTCATGCATTTGACTCTGCTAACAGAGTTCTTGTCTTTTAAAATTTATTCACTACCCATATTTGGCTTAATTTAGGGATGAAAAATACAGATTCTAGTAGCAATAAAATACCCAGACAATGAAAACAAAATAAAAACAGTGGTTTTTATAATAACATTAATTCTGGACCTGGAGAATACTAAAATTTTTGTGAGAAAACAAAAGGTCATCTTAGAAGACAGAAAATACTCATATTTAAAAATAAAGACTTAGAAATTTAAAACAATACAGAGTTTCCCTACCATAGATCTCCATGCCTAATCAACTTGAAAGACACAGAGATGTCTGTGCTAATTATACACACTATACATTTAAGAGAGGGGTTAAATTATTTACCTGGCAAAGGTCCTTCAGTAACTTTAATAACTTGTGCAATGTACAAGTATAGGGCCCTGGTTAGGGCAGATTTAGTGGAGTATTTTAGACATCCTTTCTATGGAAATGATGGTATTACATTAGATATACATCCTCTTTGAGTTGAGAGAACATATAAATTAGTGAAAAAAATTCTCTAAATATCAATAATTGATGCAAGGTGGCTATTACAGCATATCACATACAATAGGGAGTAAATAAGTTTTAATAAAAAGTTGCCATGACTTCTTTGTTATCACTGAATCTAGAAATGTAACTGCTTTACCTGAAATTTCGAACGAGAAAGTTCTTCTATGAAATATAGCAAGTGATAAAAAACTATGAGGCAACTGTTAAGATACTTCAAAGGTGCCAATAAGAGTGCTACAGCCTAGGAATCAATCGTGGATCTGTCCAGTGCATTGATAAGACAGAAATCAGATTACCAAATCATTTTGCAAGTACTTTAATATAAGATGTTGACAAACTTGAGGGAGCTTAGAGAAAAGCTGATTGATTAAGAGGCTGGGAAAATGACTTAAGAGGCAAGATTATAAAAACTAAATATATTGTTCATTGACTAAGGAATTAAGTACTTGATGTACAGTACATATAACATTTTTCAGAGAGTGACTTAGGGGTATATGACACAAATTTCCAAGAATTCAAAATGCATCGCCATGAAGGGAAAGAATTGTTTATGATGCTCCCTGGGGGCATAACTAGAAGTCAGGGCATGAAATTGAATAAGAGAAGAGAATATGTAGGCTCTGTATCTACAAAGTTTTCCCAATAGTAATATCTATTAAATTGTAGAATGGCCTCACAATGGAAGCAGTGGAAAAGCCATCCTGTAAGTTATTTCACACAAGAGTGGACAAAGTATTCAAAGATATACCTCTGGAAAGAAATCTACCCCATTGCTGTGACAGAGAGTATAATGAATGATTCACTTGAGCTTTCCACTTCTGCTTTTAGGAGAGTCATGTGTTTTAAATGAGTATCTGTCTTCCACTGTGAATATATGTGTCATAACTTTGACTTTATGTTTATTCTTTCAATCATGTTTTGCTTTTATTTTTCTAAAAGTCATTTAGTTTTTTTATCTTTCTATTTGCCTGGAATATATTTTATGAAAATCACATTTGTAGTTAATGTTCTGGGCTTGCTATAGGTAATGGCTCTAAGAAAAAGCAATAAAAGCAGTTAGTATTTTAATGCATTTTACAATGTATTTTGAAATGTATACATCCAATCCTAAACTATCAGCCCTTGAAAGCTGATGAGTGAACAGAAACTTTCATATTTATTGCTATAAATCTCATATTAGAAGTCTTCTCTTTTAACCACTCATAAATATGTAATTTCTCCATATTTTATTGAAAACCACTTTTTTTGCTTACGGACATTTATTAATACTAAATTTTCTCTTACATGATAATTTGTGAGAAATGGATTAACAGCAATGTGTATACAGAGAAGAACTATCTGAGATTTTCTGTACATTGAAAAGAGCTACTAATTATTTAGTCTATGTGGTATATATACTTACATCTCATAAAATAAAACACTTAGCAAATTTATTATAGATTTCAAACGATTGCCACAAAACAAGAACCTAGGACATTATGTTGTTTATTCCATCTCACGTATAAGATCCATTTGAACTTAATAAGTTCTCCCACTGTAAAGCCGTTTCTTATTTCACAATTATTATATCAGCGAAGAACACTTCAGTTGTAACATTGACTACATCCTCAGGTACTTTGTTAATTATATCAATTTCAAATTGCCCACTTCGGGAATACTCACCACATGATTACACAGCATAAAGCATCCTTACAGTGAATCCTGAGGGAGGATTATAGAAGAAAATGGTGAAGGGAGGTTTTGGTTTGTGCAAATTTCCCTTAACTTTCTCTTACATTACATAATCCTGACCCTTCCCTCCTTGTTGTTTAAGTCCTAATAGGTCCTGTTGCTCCTAATTCTCTTCAAACCTCTGTCTCTTAAAATGTTCCAGAAAATCACCAGGGTAACTCTGAATGGTAAAATGTGTACAAATCGCTTAGAGGAGGTTTTCTCAAACTCAGCATTATTTACACTTCGGGTTGAATAAGTATTTGCTAGAGTTGGGGATGGGTGGCCTGTGTATTGTAGAATATTCACCAGCATTCCTGTCCTCCGCCCACCAGATGCCAGTAGCACATCCATCCTTACCCCCACATTGTGACAACCAAAACTGTTTCCAGATATTGCCCAATATCTTGGGGGTTGCGGGGTATGCCAAACCACCCCTGGCTGAGAACCACTGCTAGAGCAAGGTGGCACAGGGTAAGAAGAGCTACCTGTCTCATTCTCCTTTTTATTCTTCCTCTTTTTCATCTCCAGCATTCTATGGAGAAGGCAGCTGCAAGAAAGTTGGGCTGGTGTTGGTTGCTGGAAACGTTAGCCAGTCACTATCCTGGCTTCGTGACATTACAGAGTAAGATTTTGAAGCTCAGTTTTGTGAGCTTCAACAAGAAACATAGAGAGGCTGATGCATAGTGTCCCCCAGATGAGACACACTGTTCCTCCTATTGAGAATATATTAATGATAGGTTCACACTTACTTCTCTGAGCTAATGATGGGAGGTGCAAATGTCCATACTGCTAATACTAATAAGAAAAACATTTACCTGGAATTTCACTTTCTAGCAGCACAAACGTGAGTAGAACTCATTTTACAGGCTACAACGTTCTCAACTGCAACATGGGAATATTGTATGGAGAATTCTATAGGTTATTTCCAGTTTTTGTCTGTCTAGTTTCAATGAACTGGCCAATAGCATAAGAAACTTCTCAGAAAGTCCAGTAAAACAGTAATTCATTCATTTCATCAATACATATACTGTGAGTGTCAACTATGTGCAAGGAACTTCACCAGGGTCTAACAATACAGAAATGAGTAATACAGGAACCTTGCTCTTGTGGAATTTTAGGGGTAGACTAACATGTAAACAAGTGAGTGTCAAAAGATGCATAGTATAAGAAGGCATTAATGATATAACGAAGAAGAAAGTGGTCACTTTTTTTTTTTTTTTTTTGAGATGGAGTCTCACTCTGTCACCCAGGCTGCAGTGCAGTGGCACGATCTTGGCTCACTGCAAGCTCCACCTCCCGGGTTCACAACATTTTCCTGCCTCAGCCTCCCAAGTAACTGGGACCACAGGCGCCTGCCACCATGCCCGGCCAATTTTTTTTTTTTTTTGTATTTTTAGTAGAGACGAGGTTTCACCGTGTTAGCCGGGATGGTCTCGATCTCCCGACCTCAAGATCTGCCCGTCTTGGCCTCCCAAAGTGCTGGGAATACAGGCGTGAGAAAAGTGGTCACTTTTAATTGAAGGATTAGAAGAAGCCCCAACTTAAGAGGTAATGCTTGGAGTTTGGAAGGATCAGAAGTAGTTGATAATCCTGCACACCTATGATGTACCAGCCTTTGTGCTAGGATACGTTATTTCCAGTCCTGATAAGGTCTCTGCAATTCATTCTTTATTGAGGTTTAACTATGAGAAAACTCAGGCTTGGATAGCTGAAGGGCCTGGCTGATGGCTCTACGCTGAGTAAGCAGCAGAGGCTGAATTTAAATTCCAGAACCATCATGGAGACTCCTCTAAGCAAAGGAAGTGACATTAATTTGCAGAGCCTATGAACATGCCCCACATAATATTAGAAATATGTTATGCTCAGGGTGTCTGGAGACAGAGTAAAACATGGGCTGGGGTAAGAGAGAGAGCGCTAAGGAGCAGAGAGGAACAAACCACAAAATATCCTGGTGCCATGCTAGTTTTGGGGTTTTATCATAGGGAATAGAGAGTTACTGAAGGGTTTTAAGCAGAAGAATGGCAGCAGTTTGGATGGAGCCTTAGAAATATCTCTTAGGCTGCTGTGGGGAAGAGGAGCTGAATTACAATCCTGCAGGCAGAGAGACAAAGGAGAAGGAGATTCTTGTTTACTGTGTAGAAAAGAAATTATGGTGGTCATATCCAGACCACTAGAAGAAGAAAGAGGAAAAAGGGCTCATAGGGGAAGATATTAAGGAGTTAGAGAGGCAACAAAGGAGTTGCTCATTAATGAAGAAAAAAATCTCAGTACTTCTTCCAATGGGAAGAGAAGAGACAATGCCTATACCTTCATTCCCAAGTTTTCTTCTACTGCCCAAACTTCATCAAGATGGGATGGGGACTAACATTGGTGGAGCATCAAACTCCTGTGAAGCAGCTCTCCCTTCTCCCCATGTGCAGTCACCTCCTATGAAGCAAATTCTGTCCAACCCTAAGAGCTACTCTATAGCACCTTCCTGTACTTCAATCATAGCCCTTGTCCCATCCTTAGCTGTTCACACTTTTATTTATTTATTTATAATTATATTTTAAGTTCTAGGATACATGTGCAGAATGTGCAGGTTTGTTTCATAGGTATACACGTGCCATGGTGGTTTGTTGCACCCATCAACTCATCATCTAGGTTTTAAGCCCCGCGTGCATTAGGTATTTGTCCTAATGCTCTCCCTCCCCTTGCCCCCCACCTCCTCACAGGCCCTGGTGTGTGATGTTCCTCTCCCTATGTCCATGTGTTCTCACTGTTCTCCAACTTATGAATGAGAACTCCCACTTATGAGTGAGAACATGCGGTGTTTGGTTTTCTGTTCTTGTGTTAGTTTGCTGAGAATGATGGTTTCCAGCTTCATCCATGTTGCTGCAAAAGACATGAACACATTAATTTTTATGGCTGCATAGTACTCCATGGTGTATATTTGCCACATTATCTTTATCCAGTCTATCATTGATGGGCATTTGGGTTGGTTCCATGTCTTTTCTATTGTCCATAGTGCTGAAATACACATACATGTGCATGTGTCTTTATAGTAAAATGATTTATAATTCTTTGGGTATATACCCAGTAATGGGATTCCTAGGTCAAGTGGCATTTCTGGTTCTAGACCCTTGAGGAATCGCCACACTGTCTTCCACATTGGTTGAACTAATTTACACTCCCACCAACAGTGGAAAAGCATTCCTATTTCTCCACATCCTCTCCAGCATGTTTCCTGACTTTTTAGCAATCACCATTCTAACTAGCATGAGGTGGTATGTCACTGTGGTTTTGCTTTGCATTTCTCTAATAACCAATGATGATGAGCTTTTTTTCATATGTTTGTTGGCCACATAAATGTCTTCATTTGAGAAGTGTCTGTTCATATCATTGCCCACTTTTTGATGGGGTTGTTTGTTTTTTTCCTTGTAAATTTGTTTAAGTTCCTTGTAGATTCTGGACATTAGACCTTTGTTAGATGGATAAATTGCAAAATTTTTCTCCCATTCTGTAGGTTGCCTGTTCACTCTGATGATAGTTTCTTTTGCTGTGCAGAAGCTCTTTAGTTTAATTAGATCCCATTTGTCAATTTTGGCTTTTGTTGCCATTGCTTTTGGTGTTTTAGTCATGAAGTCTTTGCCCATGCCCATGTCCTGAATGGTATTGCCTAGGTTTTCTTCTAGGTTTTAGGTTTTAGGTTTTAGGTTTATGTTTAAGTCTTTAACCCATCTTGAGTTAATTTTGTATAAGGTATATGGAAGGGGTCCAGTTTCTTTTTTTCTGCATATGACTAGCCACTTTTCCCAGCACCATTTATTAAATAGGGAATCCTTTCCCCATTGCTTGTTTTTGTCAGGTTTGTCGAAGATCAGATTGTTGTAGAGGTGTGGTGTTTTTTCTGGGGCCTCTGTTCTGTTCCGTTGGTCTATATATCTGTTTTAATACCAGTATCATGCTGTTTTGGTTACTCTAGCCTTGTAGTATAGTTTGAAGCCAGGTAGCATGATGCCTCCAGCTTTGTTCTTTTTGCTTAGGATTGTCTTGGCTATATGGGCTCTTTTTTGGTTCCATATGAAATTTAAAGTAGTTTTTTTCTAGTTCTGTGAAGAAAGTCAATGATAGCTTGATGGGAATAGCATTGAAGTTATAAATTGCTTTGGGCATTATGGCCATTTTCATGATATTGACTCTTCCTATCCATGAATATGGAATGTTTTTCCATCTGTTTGTGTCTTCTCTTATTTCCTTAAGCAGTGGTTTGTAGTTGTCCTGGAAGAGGTCCTTCACATCCGTTGTAAGTTGCTATTGTCAATAGTGGCTATTGTCAATAGTAAGTTGTATTCCTAGGTATTTTTTTCTCTTTGTAGCGATTGTGAATGGGAGTTCACTCATGATTTGGCTCTTTGTTTATTATTGGTGTATAGGAATGTTTGTGATTTTTGCACATTGATTTTGTATCCTGAGACTTTGCTGAAGTTGCTTATCAGCTTCAGGAGTTTTTGGGCTGAGACGATGGGGTTTTCTAAATATACAATCATGTCATCTGCAAACAGAGACAATTTGACTTTCTCTCTTCCTATCTGAATACCCTTTATTTCTTTCTCTTGCCTGATTGCCCTGGCCAGAACTTCCAATAGTATGTTGAACAGGAGTGGTAAGAGAGGGCATCCTTGTCTTGTGCCAGTTTTCAAATGGAATGCTTCCAGCTTTTGCCAGTTCAGTACGATATTGGCTATGGGTTTCTCATAAATAGCTCTTATTATTGAGATACGTTCTACTGAATAGTTTATCTCAATAAACTATTAAGATAGTTTATTGAGAGTTTTTAGCATGATGGGCTGAATTTTATCAAAGGCCTTTTCGGCATCTATTGAGAAAATCATGTGGTTTTTTGTCATTGGTTCTGTTTATGTCATGGATTATGTTTATTGATTTGAGTAAGTTGAACCAGCCTTGCATCCCAGGGATGAAGCCAGGAGCTGTATTTTTGAAAAGATTAACAAAATAGATAGACCACTAGTCAGAATAATAAAGAAGAAAAGAGAGAAGAATCAAATAAACAGAATAGAAAATGATAAATGGGATATCACCACTGATCCCACAGAAATACAAACTACCATCAGAGAACACTAAAAACACCTCTACGCAAATAAACTAGAAAAATTTAGAAGAAATGGATAGATTTCTAGACATACACCCTCCTGAGACTAAACCAGGAAGAAGTCAAATCCCTGAATAGACCAATAACAAGTTCTGAAATTGAGGCAGTAATTAATAGCCTACCAACCAAGAAAAAGCCCAGGACCAGATGGATTCACAGTAAAATTCTACCAGAGGTACAAAGAGGAGCTGGTACCATTCCTTCTGAAACTATCCCAAACAATTGAAAAAGAGGGACTCCTCCCTAACTCATTTTATGAGACCAGCATCATCCTGATACCAAAACCTGGCAGAGACACAATAAAAAAAGAAAATTTCAGGCCAATATCCCTGATGAACATCGATGCAAAAATCCTCAATAAAATACTGGCAAACCAAATCCAGCAGTACGTCAAAAAGCTTGTCCACCATGATCAACTGTTCATGCATTTAGTATTGGTTTAACTCTTCTTTAAAAACTGAGCTAGATTCCTTGAATCCCCCCAGTACCAAGCATAAAATAGGTCCCCGTAATTATTTGTTGAATCAGCCACTCGAAATCCCTCTTGACAGTGATAATATATTAGTATAAAAAGATAGATGAAGTAATGCATATGTTTCTTTGTTTTGATTATATTTTGATTAAAACATACCATGTGTGTCTAGGATGACCATTTTTCACCCATAAAAGGAGTGGGGATGGGGGACACTTGCCACTTATTATGTATTTGAGGGTAATGGGATCTAATATGTACAGAGATGCTTTTTCTTTAGAAATATGGTTGCTAAGGCCAGCAGTCCAAATGATAAGATGAGGTTGTTGTCATACAAACTGAAATGTGGTGAGGAACCAGTAAAGTAGAGATTATAGAATTGTTAGAAAAGGGTTAAAGAAGGCTGATATACTGTGTAATAAGTGCTCAGAAAACAAACTTGCACAACCACACAGCACAGGAGAGATTAGGATATGAGATTGCTGCAGCTTCATCATCCGGCTCCATCATCATAAAGAGTATCATTTCCATTGCTAACAGCTGGGAAAACAGGCACCAGTAGTGTCGTTGTTGGTTTCTTTTCTGTGTAAACAAACATTTTTCAATAGCAAAATTGAAGGGATTTTCTCTTAATTTATAATAGGAACAATGATATCTTCAGAATGAAACCCAGTTTGCTGAGGGAAGAAAATGGACAATCGATAGGGATGGTGTTCTTAAGGTTGCAGGGCTGTTTTCTTTTTTTATGAACATTTCAAAACATGAACATTGTCTTTCAAAATGGCCACCTGGGTACTCTTTCTCTCCTAATGTCCCCACACAGAAAATTAACTAACGAAACATGTAAGCTAGAATGCTGTTTGTTTGAAGGGTAGTATGGAATTATGAAAACAAATTAATTAAGATGTCTCTTTTTATGGGACTTAAATATGTTTATATTGATATGCAAGTGTGAATTGAGAGAAACACTCCAGCCTACTGAGTTTTTTTTAATGGAATTAAGAAGCTCCCAGTAGTTTGTTACAATACCTCAAGACCATGTGAGTCACTTACATTTTAGAAAGTGCTTTCCCATATGTGATCTCATTTAATCCTATGGCATGCTTGTAACATACAAAGTGTTTTAGAAATGTTTGTAGATTTGGCAAAATATAGCTGAACTGAAAATTTAATTCTTTTAGAAAGATATACTAACTGTCTTGTACCCCTGTACTAAGTGACGTCATTGTCTTTGAAGTGTTTCCAGTCTAGTGAAAAAACATAAATCCTGTAAAACAGGTACAGTGAGCTCAATGCTATTAAAATGGTAAAATGAGTAGCAAACGTGAACTTGGGGATGGTATTGTCAGAGAAGGGGATGAATCCTGGGGCTCTGCTTCATACATTAAGGATTCATATTAAGAGAAATAATTCTTAACAAGGCAGCACATCAGAATCAGCTCAGGAGCTTTATAAATGGAGCTTTGCAGATGCTTTCCCCATGAGATACTGATTCACTGAGTCAGGCATCAGTTCTGGACATGTATGTTTAAAAGAAAATTCTAATGCAAACCATTGGTCATTTTCCTGGAATTGTGGTACTTTCTTTCTGCAGTCTAAATTATACTCTATAGCTAAAGCCTGAAGTCTTTGGCCAAATTTCTTTCTTTCCTTTAGCTTTAGGTTCTGTTGCTTTTAAAAGCAAATAATTTGGGAAGGATAAGGCTTTAAACTGTTACCAGTCGGTAACTCACTTTGTTCCCTCTACTTAGATTAATGATTCCCCACTCCTTCCTTGGGTCAGCTTTCTTCCTATGTGAATCATTTCCAGATCAGCTTCTCTTTCCCTTGGACAGAATTTATTTTCTCTCTTCTCCCATCCTACAAACCCTCAGTTGTATTTCAGCTATCACTGATCTTACCACAATTGACTCAGGCAACTATCTGGCAGGGAGGTTTCACATTTTATTTGTATCCCTAGGTCTTTCGTTGGGACCTGCCATGGCGATTGAGAGGCAAAGAAATGTTTGTAGAAAGAATGAGTTACATAATTCATTAGAAAATTAGCTTTCAGCCTGGTCTACAAGAAAGATTTGCTAGTTGTTGTGATTTGTGAGGAAATAACTTTTGGGCATTTGGTAAGGATGGAACACAGAGATGGGGTGAGTCAGGTTTGTAGATAATTCTAAGAGAAAACAGGCCACAAAACATAAGATCTGCTTTGCCATTCTGCCTATAGCTGGCTGAGAAATAACCATTCTATTTTTATATTGAAAATAGCATATATACATTTTTTTGTTACACAAGGGATGCTCTTACAAAAGGTTCAGAAGAAAATGGAATCATTTGCAATTGTTTATTCTAACTAATTGTAACTTCAAATCAAAATTAGGCACTGGCCCGCAATCTTAAATTAGAGCTCTGCCTTTATAACACTGATTTTCCTTCATAAATGCTTTCTTAGTTAAGACTTTGTATGCGTATTTATATATTTTTTAACTAATTAAAATCCACTTCCCTATCTAGGTTATCTCCTATGGCTAAATGAAATAATTTTGTATTAGTTATTCATATTTCTTTTTTATCTGTTACAGAGATAGTACAGAGATTAAAATAGTAGGGGTTTTATTGTCTTTTTCTTTAAAAAATCTGTTTTTAGCATTTCAGGAAAAAAGAAAATGCCAGAAAATCATACGGAGTGCTTCTGGCCTTGAATAGCTATGCATTTTAGACACTTGGCTTGTGTTTGAGCCAAAGGAATACATTATGTTTTGCAGAATTCTATGAGAAATGAAGGCCTTTCTGTAGTAGTGACATCAAGAAACTTCAAGTCCAAATTTACTATTAAGGTTGGAATTTTAATGTCAAAGGTATATTTCAGCTATTTTCATGAGTAATTCAAAAGGGACTGACCAAGAAAGGTACATCTAATGTGTCATTGCTGAATACAGCTAGTTACAGTTTTTGGCTTCTTGTCCTGCCAACACTGCCAGGGTTGTGGGTGTCGAACTGGGAAGTGGAATCTCACTGCACTAGGTATTCTCTTACTTTATGGGATTCTCTAGTGTTTTTCTTGTGCCAAGGCCTCTTAAAGGACCTTGAATACTGTTGTGGACTGAATATTTGTGTCCCCCCCAAAATTGATACCTTGAAATTTAAATGCCCAATATCACAGTATGTAGAGGTAGGGCCTTAGGATGTAGGAATGGGATTAGCAACCTTATGAAAGCAACCCCAGAGAGCTTTCATCCTCTTTCCATCATATGTCACGTGAAGCTACAAGAAGAATTTGGCAATCTACAACCCACAAGAGAGCCCTCACCAAAACCCTACCATGCTGGCACCTTGATCTCAGACTCTCAGCCTCCAGTACCATGAGAAATAAATTTCTGTTGCCTATAAGCCACGAAGTCTAAGGTACTTTGTTATAATAGCCTGAATTGACTAAGGAAAATGCTTATTTTGATTCTAACCCTCTGCTATGTTTCGAATGACTGTCCTCTCCAAAACTCATGTTGGAACGTAATCCCCAATGTAACAATATTGAGAGGTGGGGCCTATAAGTGATTAATTCATTTACTGGTTAATGGATTAATGGGTTAATGGATTAATGGGTTAGCATGGGAGTGGGTTAGTTATCATAGAAGTGTGCCTGTTACAAAAAGTCAGGTTGGCTCTTTCTTGCAAACTCCCTTACCGTGTAATGCTCTATGCCATCTTGGGACTCTGCAGAGAATCCATACCAGCAAGAAGGCCTAGAAGACCCTCACCATATACTGCCCCTAGACCTTGGAGTTTCCTGGCCTCCAAAACTGTAAGAAATAAATTTCTTTTTTAAAAAAATTACCCAGTCTCAAGTACTCATTTATAGCAATAGAAAAGGGACTAAGACACCCTCCGAAGACATTTAATGGTAATAGTAATAATAACAGCTGTATCTGTTGTACACAGACTGTGTACCAAACCCGTATATTTTAAAGATAATCTTCAAGCAGCTTTATAATGCAGATGAATCCTTCCCATTTTACAAATGATGAAACAGCAGCTTAGACAGTTTAATTGACACTCTAGATCTCATAGATAATACACAGATTTGAATTTGAGTGTTTCTGATTCATATATCCTGTACTCTTTACATAAAAGCTAAAAAACAAAAAAATCAAATGAATGGTTTTGGAGTGTTTGAAAACCTGGAAAGCTCTTGAGGCCTTAGTTAATATCTGCTAGAATGAGACTATCTGGATTCCAGAGACCTGTGACAATTATTAAGAAGCCCTAAGTCTTTTAAGGCTGCTGCTGCTGTCCATGAGGAAGGCCAGCTCAGCAGTCTCATCAACAGAAGACCCAAATCTTGCCTGCTATGGTGTTACAGTTACACAGTCTCATGTAAGGTCAGGCTAGTATTGGTGCAACTATATGCCTCTTAGAGTTTAAAATGTTGCAGAGACTGACTTCAGAATCAGAATACCTGGTTATATGCTTCATTTCTATTCCACAGTTTCCCTAACATTTGACCCTTACAATTCCCCTCCAACCTTGATCCTACTCTGAACCCAATCCTCACCCCCATTCCTCCAATGCCCAGTAGGCCCTGGAACAAAGCAGCTAAGGGCCCTTGGTATGCTGGTATGATTGCAACATCGGAGTAGGAGACAGCAAGTCTTTCAGATTACTATAGACATAAATGATGGTCTCTTTATATACTGTCACTTAATATGTCATTGGGGATAGATTTTTTTGCTTTTACTCCAAAATATCAGACACATCTTAGGTATTCAATGAATGCTTGTTGGTTCAGCCCAGTTAAATATTTTGAGGCCTGCTGAGCGCAATGCACAGTAATAGACGCTGCAGGTGTGAGCCACTCCCTACCTACAAGGAGCTTTTGCTCTAGTAGAGATAGTGAGGCATGTATGTGGGTTTTTATGGATTAAAAAGACTGGAAAGAAATGTACTTTGAAAAGCAGCACAAGACAAGGATGCCCTCTCTCATCACTCCGATTCAATATAGTATTGAAATTCTGGCCAGGGCAATCAGGAAAGAGAAAGAAATAAAGGGCATCCGAATAGGAAGAGAGAAAGTCAGATTATCCCTGTTTGCAGATAACATGATCCTATATCTAGAAAACCCCATCATCTCAGCCCAAAAGCTTTTTACATTGATAAACACCTTCAAGAAAGTCTCAAGACACAAAATCAATGTGCAAAAATCACTAGCATTCTTAGACACCAACAACAGGCAAGCTGAGAGCCAAATCAGGAACAAATTCCCATTCACAATTGCCACAAAAAGAATAAAACATACTTAGCAATACAACTAAGTGGGAAGGTGAAAGATCCCTACAAGGAGAACTACAAACTCTGCTCAAAGAAATTAGAGATGACACAAACAAATGGAAAAACATTCCATGCTCATGGATAGAGAGAAGCAGTATCATGAAAATGGCCATACTGCCCAAAGAAATTTATAGATTCAATGCTATTCCCATTAAATTACCACTGACATTCTTCACAGAATTAGAAAAAAACTATTTTAAAATTCACGTGGAATCAAAAAAGACCCCAAACAGCCAAGACAATCCTAAGCAAAAATGACAAAGCTGGAGGCATCACACAACCTGACTTCAAACTATACTTACAGGGTTACAGTAACCAAAACAGTGTGGCACTGGTACAAAAACAGATACCTAGACCAATGGAATAGAATAGAGAACCACAAAATAAGACCACTCACCTACAACTATCTGATCTTTGACAAACCTGACAAAAATAGGCAATGGGGAAAGGATTCTCTATTCAGTAAATGGTGCTGTGAGAACTGGCTAGCCATATGCAGAAGATTGAAACTGGACCTCTTTCTTACACCATATACAAAAATTAACTCACGATGGATTAATGACTAAAATATAAAACTTAAAACTAAAAAAATCCTGAAGACAACTTAGGCAATACCATTCAGGACATGGGCATGGGCAAAGATTTCATGATAAATATGCCAAAAACAACTGCAACAAATGCAAACATTGGCAAATGGGATTTAATAAAACTAAAGAGCTTCTGCACAGCAAAAGAAACTATCAGCAGAGTAAACAGACAACCTACAGAATGGGAGAAAATTTTTGCAAACTATGCATCTGACAAAAGTCTAATATCCAGACTCTATAAGGAACTTAGATAAATTTACAAGAAAAAAATAACCCCATAAAAAAGTGGGCAAAGGACGTGAACAGACACTTTTCAAAAGAAGACATACATGTGGCCGACAATCACATGAAAAAACCGATCATTAGAGAGATGCAAATTAAAGCCACAATGAGATACCATCTTACACCAGTCAGAATGGTTATTAGTAAAAAGTAAAAAAATAACAGATGCTGGCAAGGTCGTGGAGAAAAACGAATGCTTATACACTGTCGGTGGAAGTGTAAATCAGTTCAGCCATGGCAGAAGACAGTGTGGTGACTCCTCAATGGCCTAAAGACAGAAATATTAATCCCACTCAACTCAGCAATCCATTATTGGGTATATACCCAAAGGAATATAAATCATTCTATTATAAAGACATATGCATGCATATGTTCATTGCAGCACTATTTACAATAGCAAATACACGGAATCAAGACATATGGTCATCAATGTTAGATTGGATAAACAAAATGTGGTATATATACACTATGGAATACAATGCAGCCATAAAAAAGAATGACACCACATCCTTTGCAGGGACATGGATGGACCTGGAGGCCATTATCCTCAGCAAACTAATGCAGGATCAGAAAACCAAATACAGCATGTTCTCACTTGAAAGTGGGAACTAAATGATGAGAATACATGGACACATACAGGGGAACAAGACACACTGGGGCCTTTCAAAGGGTGGAGTGGTGGAGAAGGGAGAGGATAAGGAAAAATAACTAATGGGTACTAGGCTTAATACCTGGGTGATTAAATAATCTGTACAACAAACCCCCATGACACAATTTTGCCTATGTAACAAACCTGCACATGTGCCCCTGAACATAAAAGTTAAAAAAAAGAAATGTGCCAAAATATTCATAGTAGTTGTGTTTAAGTGATGGGACCTATGGGTGTTTACTTTTTGTTTACATTTCTACATAAATCAAATACATGTTGTATAGATGTACTTTATTCCTTGAATAGCCATAATGTTGATTTAAAAAAACAGTAACTTGAGTACTTGATGGAGAGGAAGTTCATGTGGCTGAGGTGCTAAAAACTAGTTAAATATATTAAATAATTATATTTAATATATTTATATTTATTTAATATATAATATATTAATTTATTTAATATATAATACATTAATTTATCTAATATAGTTATATTTATTTACTATATAATATATTAATTTATTTAATATATTTATATTTATTTAATATATAACATATTAATTTATTTAATATAGTTATATTTATTTAATATATAACATATTAATTTAATATGTTATATTTATGTAATATATATTAATTTATTTGATATAGTTATATTTGTTTAATATATATTAATTTATTTAATAGTTATATTTATTTAATATATTATATATTAATTTATTTAATATATAATATATTAATTTATTTAATATATAATATATTAATTTATTTAATATATAATATATTAATTTATTTAATATATAATATATATTAATACACACACATATTTTTTGAGACAAGGTCTTGCCTTATCACCAAGGCTGCAGTCCAGTGGTGAAATCATAGCTCATTGTAACCTCAAACTTGGGCTCAAGTGATCCTCTTACCTCAGCTGCCCAAGTAGCTGGGACTACAGGCGTGCACCACCATGCCTAAATTATTGTCAAGTTTTTTGAAGAGATGGGGGTCTCACTATATATGACTAGTTGGTCTTGAACTCCTGGCCTCAAGTAATCCTCCTGCATCAGCCTCCCAAAGTGCTGGGATTACAGGTGTGAGCTACTGTGCCTGCCCAAGGGCTAGTGATATTTTTGACACGAATATGACTTTGACAGGGAGAAGAGGGCTTGAATTCTTAAGGAAATATACATGAGAAATGTAACAGCCAGGAATGAGAGATGAGGAATCCTGAGGTGACTAGGTTATCAGGGAATAGTTCTGTTTGTCTGGACTAAAGAATATGTGTAAGGAAAAGGGAGAATTGAAACTAGAATGTTAGGCTGTGGTCAGAACATGGAAGACTCTCAGTATCAGAGTGAAGTATCTGGACATATTTCCGTAGAAAACTGGGGGTCAGTCACAATTTTTCAACTGGAAAATATGATCACAGCTCTACATTAGCAGGTAGCCAGGTGCAGCACAGATTGGAGATGGGGGAGACAGGAGGGAGGGAGACCAATCAGGAAGTGATTAGCCGGGCCCAGCCAAGAAGCAATGATTACTTGATTATTTATTCATGTATCTCTCTTTCACAGAGGTGGCTCCATGACTTTTCAATTTTTCTTTTTAATGTTTTGCCTGTCTGGCTCCAATTTTCAATTGCAAAATAAGAAAAGATTCACTTTGAATCCGTAGCTCAATTTGCTCTCAGGTGAAAGGCACAATCTTGAGTGGAGGTTAGCCTTAATCTGTCACATTTCCACTGATAAAGGGAACATTTAGGACAGTTGTTTTCAAGGCTGGATGAGTCCTGTCTCTTTGATTGATTTCTAATTCCTTCATTCACCTAGGAGAGGAGACGGGTCTCTGAAGTTCATGGGATCTTTAACTTCCCAGTTAGAATGGCTGAATCTTACAGCAAATAGAGCAGGTCAGCTAGGTCTCCTTAGAGCCAGAGTGAGTACAAGAGTAGAACAGAGTTCCAAAGGACCGTTACCAAAGATACCTGATTGAAAAACTTAAAACATAAAACTCACTGTGGGCTCCCACCCTTTATGGGCACACAGCCCCTTGCTCTTTTGTAGGGGGGAACTCTTCTTTCCATATTACTGCCCCAGCCCACAGATATGGAGACATCAACAAGTATTTTTCCTTTCATCACTTGGAAAGCGCCTTTGCAAAGATTATAACTGAGAAAATTATGATGGTGAAAGAGATCTGACCTAACCGACTCCATCTTGCTTTTAACCTCCAAGCTGTCCTGATTCATTCCTGAGTGTAGGCCAAACTAACTTTGGGAGGAGCTTAGTTTTTAGTTTAACTAGGAAACAAAGACGGTAACAGCTCTTTCTCAAAACAAACCCCCTTCCTGACTGGGGACTAAACTGTCTTTACAGGACTAAGAAATTAGCCACAAGATTAGAAATTATGGTTTAGGAGTCATGCAGCTGGAGGCTGCAAGATTCTCAACCTCCCAAATTGCTCCTCGGGATAACATCACTATTCTAAAATCTAAGATCAGTGCTTAAGATATTTTGCAGAACCTGCACTGGATGGATCAGCTGGCACCACTCAGATCAATAAACTGGTTCATCTGGCCTCGTGGTCCGCAACCAGGAACTGACTGAGCACAAGAGGAGAGCTTCAACTCCCTATAATTTCATCTCCATCCTGACCAATCAGCACTCCCCACTTTCCAACCCCCCCCCACCCCAAACAAATTATCCTTAAAAACTCCAATCCTTGAGTTTTTGCAGAGACTGATTTGAGTAATAATAAATCTCTGGTCTTCCATACAGCTGGCTCTGTGTGAATTAAGCTCTTTCTCTATTACAATTCCCCTGTCTTAATAAATTGGCTCTGTCAAAGCAGCGGGTAAGGTGAACCCGTCAGCTGGTTAAAACTTCTTCCATCCTCCTTCCTTTCCCACCCCATTTCTCTTTTGGGTTGCTGCTTCTAGGATCAATCACCGGGAAAGGTCTAGGCTCTCCTCTTCTTCCTGAGTCCACCTGCTAAGCACAATGTACCTCCTTGCTGGCTATCCCACCTAATTGTGACTGTTTATGACCATTTGTAACCAGACTTGTGATCTTCCATGCAGTAGGAAGACTGTGTAAGTGTACCCATGTTTGTTTATCAACCTTGAGCCCTCCCAAGCATCCTTGAGTCTGAATTTGCATCATAGTTGTTGTACACTTACCCTGTGGCTTTTCATTCCACCCAAGTTCTCCATTCTAGTTTTACTAGAAAGACTTAAGCTTTAGTATTTCTTGGACTCACATTAATGAAACTGCTACTTTTGAGTCCTTTTGGCTTCTTGTATCTTTTGCCTAGTAGCTAAAATAAAGAAAGGCTAGTAAGTGATTAGCACCATTAACCTGCAACACTCTGAATTAACTCATCAGGATACTCTGAAATGCCTGCTTTTTCAGGCCTTTATGCAGGCAACGCCCTCTTCCCGGGATGCTGTTGCCTCCCTGACACAGCCCAGCAATTCGCTCCTTTGTGAGGTTAAATGCCTGTCTTTCTTGTGTGCCCCAAATACTCCATGCACATTTTATCACTGCAATTCTCCCTGCCTTATAATTGTGTACCTTTCTCTCCCTCAGGACTATCATTTTCTTATTATCCACAGTAAGTCTTCAGACATATTTGTTGAATTTATAAGTGAACGATAGGTGGAGACATTTTTTTAATACCAAGGTTTCACTTCATCACTAAGTAACACTGCTTTGTTTTTGACATATCTTAAATATGCAAGCCATTTTCTAAAATAGCTTGAATAGCTTTTTCCTACTTCGTTTTCCTCATTTTCTTAATCTATCAAAATATTAGTACACCAAAGACCACAGATATACAGGAAAGGTTATATGCATATAAAGAGGCACATTTATCTAAAAATCACTACATTTTTTCTGGTTTTCAAGGATAAAAGTTTACTTGTTGCATGCCCATATAATTAGATACTAGATAAACAGGATACTGAACTTTCCAAGTGTCATTACACAGCATCCCTCTCAAGCTGGAAATGTGTTTACTCAGCACATCGGGGAGTCATCTGCTCATATGATCAGCAACCAGGGTTTATGAAGAAAATTACAGCAGTAAAGTATTATTTCAAACACTGCTTGTGTCAGGACTAGTCAACATGCAAAACATTCTCAAAGTCAGATAACACACAAAGGCAGCAAGTGTGGGGTACTTAACCGCGCCCGTGGATACAGAGGATGTTATGGATGAGATTCAGGGGCCTCCCTGCAACTTTACGCACAACTTCGGATATATTTACTTTTCTGTGGAGTGGGTCCACAGCTTTCATATCTCAGGGATAGCAGCACATATGTATGAGCTCTGTGACCACAGGCATGCTCCTAACCTCTGTGTTTTCACTGACTCATTTGTAAAGTTACCTAACCTGTGTTTATTGAATCACTTGTAAAATAACAGGATTAGCATAAGCATTAGATCTCTAAGATAATGCAGCTTTAAATTCTATATTTTCCCTAATCCATGCTTCATGGAGATGCATTCATGCAAGACTTAGTAGTAACGGAATATTTACGACATGTCAGGCATTGTATTAAATACTTCACATACAATGCCTCATATGTGAAATCCTCAAAGTAATCAAAAAAGGTTAGATACTATTATTCATCTTATTATTATTATTTTAGTATATTTAACATATTATTATCATCATCAGGACTGTCCCACCAAATTATAATTTCTATAAGGGCAGGAACCTTGTCTGTTTTATCATATTCTTCCCTGTCCTATGAACTCTATCAAAGTTCTCATATGTACTGTATTTAGGTTTTAGGAATACAATTTGATTAACATAACCTTCCCAAAGAGAACACTAGTTCATCAAAATGATCTCTGTAATTGGTGAAATTTTAGAATATTTGTGAAATAGTGAATAAGAACACCTATATAACCCTGCCTATAATATCCTGCAACAGCAAGAATCTGTTCTTAAAGAATGTGTGCTTCAACCAGTATCCATGGAAGTGCCTTCATTTTCTCTGCGGCCTAGGCTTTCCAGCCCAGGACAGCAGCATTCACCCAGGGGTTCTGGTACATACATTTGTCCCTCTTGCTCTGCTATCCTCCTGACCACATCCCTGGCTTGCTTTGTGTCCAGACAGACAGATCCTAATTGCAGTACATAATGAAAACTTTAATAGAGTTCATGGGACAGTGAAGAATGAAATTTAATATAATCCTGAAGCAAAGGAAAATTTGACAAAGGATATGGCTGGGTCCATAAGCAAATGGTAATGGGTGAGGGGAATAAAGGGAAAATTGGGCTCTTCAGGGTTGGGAAGCAGAAGAGGAACAGGTAGGCAAGAAGGAATGGGAGGACACAGAAAGTGAGGTGAAATGAAGTCCCATTATAATATTGTTTGGCTCTTTCTAGTCATGCATGTGTTTCAATGCATTTTTGAACAGACTTTTTATTGAGCACCTTTTATGTGCCATGCACTATGATAAAACATACAAGTTTCCTTCCCCATAGAAATTATAATTTGGTAGGACAGTTCTGATGATGATAATAATGATTAATATACTATAGAATAATAATAATAAAAAGATAAATAATAGTATCTAACCCTTTGGATTATCTTTGTTTAGTGTCTTATTGATACTTTTGTAGCATCTCACCTTAGCTAACCCTCTGGTTTTAGCTACCTTATCCCATCTAAGTGCTGAAAGACTTGAGAGATATCCTCAGTAGGATGGTCTGAGATAAAGATAAGAAACCTTCCTCATCTTTGACTGAGAGAGGAGTGACCTACTGGGTTGCTTCCCTCTCTTGTCTTTGCTTCCTTTCAGCAGCCTGAATGCTAAGGCACCAAGAAAATCATCACTCCAAGGGAAAGGTGCCTTCTCTTTTCTATTTTAGGGTCTTAGCAATTGCTCTCCTTTTGCTTAGTGCACTCTTCTTCCATAGCTTTGCGTCATTGCTTCCTAATATTTCAGGTCTCCATTGAAATTTTACATCCACAGATCATCCTTGACTCCCTAGCTGGAATGGGCTCCATACTAGTCACTCTCCAACACACTATTTTCTTTTATCTGCCTTTATTGAGGTTTGAATGTTTCTATGTATGCATGTACTTCGCTGCTTACATGCTTATGATCTATTTCCTCCCACTGCTATGAGTATTCCTGACAGCAGAGGTTCTGCCTGTCTTCCTCACTGCTGTATCTCCAGGGCACTGGACATGCCTTGTCTGGCTTACAGTAGGCATTTATGAAACTATATTGCAGCTCTTGCAGCTCTGAAATCTCCAGTGGGATATATTTGAGGGAAAGAAACTGAGGTAAACAGAATCTGCTGTAGGGATTACTGTCCTCACTCTGACAGTCCTTGGCTATATATATATAGTCCTGGCTGAAGTGCCTAAAATACCATGGGTGTTCCGAATAGTCAATTCCGAAGGTCAATGGTCCTTTACTCTCTAGCTTTGTTTAAGAATTCAGCTTAGGGCCAGGCGCGGTGGTTCACACCTGTAATCCTAGCACTTTGGGAGGCTGAGGCGGGCGGATCAAGAGGTCAGGAGGTCGAGACCATCCTGGCTAACATGGTGAAACCCCGTCTCTACTAAAAATACAAAAAATTAGCCGAGCATGGTGGCGGGTGCCTGTAGTCCCAGCTACTCAGGAGGCTGAGGCAGGAGAATGGCAGGAACCCAGGAGACGGAGCTTGCAGTGAGCCGAGATTGCACCACTGCACTCCAGCCTAGGCGACAGAAAGAGACTCCAACTCAAAAAAGAAAAAAAAAAAAATTCAGCTTAGGAGGATGATGCTCACCTTTATTTTGCTGTTGATAATATTGCTTTTGTTTTACCAACTGGTAAATTTTAGGTGAGCATAATTAGAGTCTGCAAAAGTTATTATAATTGATAATCTTATCTTTTTCAACCCCTGGGCTGTTCTCCTCCTCTCTTCCTTCTCCTCCTCCCTTCTCCATCTTCTTCCTTTTCTTCTTTTTCTATTTTAAATAATCATTTTTATGTAAAACCATTCTTCATTTGAGTTTTATTCCCAATGGAAATAACGGCATCACTTTAATTAACTACAGAGATATACACAGCTAAGCAACTGATATGACAAAATAGGTTTTTTATTTTAGAAAGTGTTATAATGGGTATTAGCAAATTTCAATGTATAAAATAAAGTAGATTTTATTAATAAAAGAAGAAAGTTTTTGAGTAGCTTTCCAAGCTTTCAAATGACTTGACTTTTTATTTTTGAATTTTAAAAAATGTACCTCACATTAACACAGACACACACGCAAGTGGGCTATTTATACAGGATTGTCTGTTACCTGATATATTAATAATATGGCCAGTGATAATAATAACAATAATAGCCTCAGACAGTTGAGTAATTAATAAGTTCCAGGCAAAGTGGTTTATAAAAGTTATCTAATTTAATCCTCAAAACAACCTAATGTCATGCAGTATTATCACCATTTTACAGACGATGAAACTGAGCCATTAGTCAGTATGCAGCAGAGCTGAAATTCATACCCTTGTTTGTTCAGTTCTCTGTACACCATCTACCGGGGGGAGCCTTGTAATTGAATACCTTTCCAATAATCTACTCAGTAGTCTTCTCAGAAAGATTCCTAACCATCCAACCATTCATTTGTTCTCCAGCAAAGTAGATTTGTGGCAGGAGATCCTAATTTATTTAGATAATCATATCTCGCTACCAAATATTTGACAACATTATCCATTCTGCTTAATTATGCTTTCTGAAGGTATCTGTTATCTTTAATGGGGTAGAATCAGAAAAGAAGGCTGAACAGGAGAGCAATAAAATGAAATGAGGCAAATTTTATGAATCATATTTTCCCAAGAAAGGGTCATTTCAACAAACACACGGTCTAGCCATGTATAAGGCACTGTATAGAATTATGCATAGGAATGAGATACACATCCCAACTTCAACAAGCAGATAAGCGTGTATCTGGAGGAGACAGATATATACATAATTTGTGATGGTAAAAGGTAGAATTATTGTCATCATTTATTGAACACTTAATACATCCTATGCATTGTGCTAAGTAATTATCATTTTAAAATTTTATACCAATTCCAATTATTACTCCCATTTAAAAGATGTAAAAGCAAAGGATAAGAAAGCTGTTTAATATTGCACCATTCCTAATGGGTGAATCCTGCCTTCAATCTAAGGTATGCTTTATGGTAAGGCACTGGTCCCATATGGCTATGCTGCCATGCCCTGGGTGGGCACTGTGACAGGTGCTAAAAGAAGGTAGAAGGTTGAATTCCACACATCAAAAACTGTGATATAAGCATCAATCCCAACCAAAAATAAGTTATCTTGATGTTATCCATTAGTCTCCACAGTTTGCTAGAGTAAAAAACCGACTAAAAATGTACATTGCACTTTTCCAAAAACATTATGAGCATGAACCATGTAGATGTGATTCCAGTGTAATAGGCTCTTGCAGTCCTGGATACCTACTACTTGTAGCTTTAGGAAATGTCCAGGTACACCTGGAGAGTCACTGAGGCAGGAAGAGCAGAGATGTTCCATGGGAGGTATGCAGGTAGAGAGGTAGATATGAGAAGGGAGGTGAACTTGACCTATGATCTATCCTAACAGCTACTCTTCATTTTCCAAGAGCACCTTGACTTCTCGTGTGCTGTTTTTGTTTGTTTGTTTGTTTGTTTGTTTGTTTTTAGACAGGGTCTCACTCTGACACAGGCAGGAGTGCAGTGGTGGCATCACTGCTCACTGCAGCCTTGACCTTCTGGGCTCACACAGTCCTCCAGCTTCAGCCTCTGGAGTAGGTGAGGTTACAGGCATGTGCCATCATGCCTGTTTTGTTTTGTTTTGTTTTTCACTTTTTGTAGAGACAGGGTCCCACTATGTTGCCCAGGCTGGACTTAAACTTCTGGGCTCAAGGGGTCCTCCTGCCTCGGCCTCCCAAAATGCTGGGATTATAGGCCTTAGCCACCACACTCGGCCACGAACTAATCTTAAGGCTCATATTTTTCTTGCATCTAGTATTCCTTAAAGTAGGGGTTGCAAAACAGCTGACTCTAGCTCCTAAATGTGTTTAGCATTCTAAAATTTATTATTTAAACACACTTGAAGAGGGATTGCCATTTTTAATCCCACTATCTCCCTATTAATTTACACCTGGCCTACTTCCAGTTTCAAGCCTGGTCTCTTAAGTTTATAAACCCTGCTTTAAAGCCTCTCCAAGTAAAATTTAAACATGAATAAAGTGATCTTCCCAGTACAGTGGTCAAACCATATGTGATCTATCCCTGCTGAGCCAAGAATCAAACAGAAGAGTTTTGTCAAAAAGCCACATGATCTAGAGTCTCTACATACCTGGAGGTTAAGCTCATTCTATCTCTTAAAATTTGTTTGTCAAAATACTTTGGCTTTAGTGGGCCATATTTAAGGCCAGAAGCCTATTAGGAGGCAAAAGAGTCTGTAGCTATTCTCAATGGACACAGACCAACAGACCAGTAGAAAAATACACAAGAATGTTGTAATATCATCATTTCAAAAAAAAAACACAAAATTGAATATACTGGTGGAGGTAAATAAGCCAGGAGAGTGATGCCAAACAGTTTACATCCAAACTATAGAGGCAGCCCAATATTCCACTTAAAATTGACCAAGAAATGAGTTATGAGACTGCACCATAACCCAAAACACATCAAACAAAAGTATCCATTCTCCCTTAAAACTGTATTCCTACTGCTTTTTACAAAAGTGGTTATTTTGCCTTAAAGACATTATGTTGTAGTTATGGTGTTTCCAACTGACTTATGGAACATTCAGCTTACTCATAACAAAACATTAGCACTAATAGTGCTTGGTATTTTAAGGCAAAAAATAATTCTTCTCTAAGCCTATCCATCACCATTCTCACATGCCAAGCCTGCTCCATCCATGAATAATTGAGAACAGATGCATCACTGAACACATTAAAAGGCAAATAAATGTAGAAACCAAAGGTTCACACTTCAATTTTAATACTTAGCAGAACTGCATGAGTTTGCAATAATGTAAATCATGCTTGATGGATTATTTTCACATTAAAACTGGAACCAGTGTTACCGCATGTTATTTTTTCATTTACAATGTTCTGATGTAGAATTCACTTAGTGTTTAATAATTCACCATAATGCAAAGAAAACCAATTAGATTTTTTAAAAAGCAAGTTTTTTTTTCTTTTCTGAAACTTTAATTCTTAAGATAAAAAATAAAAAAATAAATTGATGCCATTTATAGTACTGTGTTCTATTTTGGCATTCACACTTGGTAAAGGGACAGAGACAAACCGAAAGAAAGTGAAAATTGATCCTAAAAGGCAATATGCTACAAACAACTGAAGGATTCTGGGATATTTATGTTAATGTATAGACAAAATTATCCAAATGTCTCTGTGGGCCTAACGTACAGCACTCAGTTATTGTGTCTTGTTATGCATCATTCTCAGTTGTTGCTATTCCTTTTTTTTTTTTTTTTGAGACAGGGTCTTGCTTTGTTACCCAGGCTAGACTGCAGTAGTGTAGTCATGGTTCACTGTAGCTTCAAACTCCTGGGCTCAACAATTCTCCTGCCTCAGCTTCCCCAGTAGCTGGGACTGTAAGCACACACCACTAAACCAAGCAAATTTTTAAATTTTTTTTGTAGAGATAGGGTCTTGCTTTGTTGCCCAGGCTGGTCTCGAGTTCCTGGCTTCAAGAGATCCTCCCAACTCAGCTTCCCAAAGTGTTGGGATTACAGGCATGAGCCACCACACCTGGCCTGTTGCTGCTTTTTAGTTTTTGGCATCTCTACCCGACTTTAAGCTCCAGACGGTTCAAGGACCCTGTCTGTTCTGCTTACCTTTGTATCTACTACATCTACCAGAGTGCCTGACAAAGAACAGGAACTTACTATTGTTTTATTAATGTATGAATGAGTAAAGATTGTGTGTGACCCATGACTGTGTGTGACCCAACGACTAAAATTAACTACAATGTAGATTTTGGCTCATTATAAGGTTGAACATTTTCTATCAGTCAGAACCATTTACAGTTGAGAATGGCTGCTGAGGTGTTTAAGTAGAGAAAAGGCTACAAATAAGCATGAGTGTAGCAAACAGGATTCATACTCTTGGGTCCTCTATTGGACCTTTTGATTTTGCAGATGCTTATGAGCCCTGAGGCTCTATGATTATAACACAGACCCTTCCCAAATCTGGGTCATAATTGAAATTATAATCATCAGGACTTTCTTCTGTGATAGAACTTATACACAAATTTTCAAACTAAAAGAGGAAATTATTTTCTTTAGCTTTAATTCTGAAAACCTGTTTAACTCTCACATACCTTCTATTTGGCTGTATGTTTACCTTGCATCAGTTGAATCAAAAGGCAATTTAGTATCAGCTTTACCTTAAAGATTTCCCTTTTTCTATGTACTATGATCTCTTTCAAAATGCATGGCACAAAGGTTGACTTAATAGATCCAAAATGGTATTTCTTACTAAGAAGGATTTTAACATTTTGACCATAAGGTAGGAACAAACCATGTTATAAGGAACTAATAAAGTTCACTCACCCTCACTGAATTTGATCATAGAAAATTGATCTCTACACTTCATGAAACCAGTGTCTGCTTTTAATCATAAAGTGGTTAAGTACTCACCAGCAAAGAATAATAAATCTTGAATCCAGGTTTAGCCACAAAGTAGTCATCGGACTTGAATGTGATTTTAATTTGGTTCGTTCTTGATTTTATCCTTGGAGGAACTTCCTTGTGTCCACACCATCGTCCTCTAATAATGGTACTGGTTTCGGATATATCTTCAACTTCCACAAAATCATACCTAGAATCAATTGGACATAATGAACAAGTTTTGATTAAAGTAGATTTTGAAATTCATACTTTCACTGAGAAATTAAAACTAGCATATATGATTTGTCATGACCACAATCTGAAATGAAAATTATAATGTACAGAAATGTTAAAAGGAAAACTGGTTTTTGGATTAGGTTTGCAAATTCAAGCTTCAGTAATCTATTCTGAGAAAACCTTTACATACATTTAGTCATGACTGTTCCTAAATCTTCAATAATCAAAATGGGTCACTTTCTGAGCATCTGGTTTTAGAAAGTTTTCTTGGAAAAACTAATATCTGTAATTGCTGGCATATTTTAGGAGATGTAACTCTAGTTATAGGCCCAAATATTAACTATATAAAGTTTTTAAAACAAATACCCACTCTGAATTAATTTACTGCATTCGGTGCTTTCTTGAGAAAGTAAATGACCTATATCTATATAGCTTACAAAATCAGTAATGCCATTACAGAAAATAAATGAATACACACGACTTGCTATATTCTCTTTTTGGAAACGATCTTTTGGAATGATCACGTCATAAAATATGAAACTTATCATGAAGGAAAGCATGTAACTTTAAGGAGAGATGTGTGCTAACCAATATTGGAAAAATCTGAGCTGGTTAAACCAGGGTGTGAATGAGCTTAAGACCATAAGTTCACCTCTGGCATTGGTCGGAGAAACTAGAATCCTGGGATTCAAGAAGACAGCAAAAGCTGCTTTAGTTATCCTTGTGGGCATTTGGTCTTCAAAGCACCTCCAGAGTGTTCCATCATTCTATCACATAGTAGGAGATCCTCAGTAACATAGTTTACATCTTCTAGGGAGCACTTATTCTATTTTCAGCTCCCTAAGATGTTGGAACCTTCTACTTGATAAGCTGAACTATTTCTTTCAGTTTTGGTCATCAGTATCTCGCTCCTACAATCTACTTTTCCACAGTGACTTCAGATGCTGAGGTCACAGGCAAATGATGGGCATTCAGGGTGAACAGTGGCAGAAATCTCACATCCATATTACAGTTTTCTGTTACAATCATCAGAAGGAATCATCATAAGAAACATTATTTCTGAATACATAGAGAAACCAATATGGCCTTCCTGGTCTTACTCATGCACCTCAGAGCTCTACTGGATTGGGCAAGGTAATGTAAAAAGAAAGTAAAAAATAATGATATTGTGACTAAATTTCTCTAACAGTGATTTACAAGGCCCTTATGTCCGTTGCCTCAGTTTCCTTATGGATAAAATAAGAAGGCTTATATAATTTTACCAGCTCCATATCTCTTGGGTGCTGTGTAAATTAATCACTTAATGTTTATATGGTGCTTGGAAGGTAAAAAGCACTAACAAAGTATCATTATGCAAGCAACAAAATATTACAATGTAAACATCAAGGAGGCTTTGGAACAGATGGTAGGAAATCAATTCCATTTCATTTTGTATACAATACATGTAAATCATATTTACTGCACAAAGCATGACTATAATTGAAACTTTTAATAACACCATAGGTCACTTTTGTTTAAAGAACACATCATTGTAACTTTAACTCTGAACCTGAAGTCAAGAGAGGGCTGTTTTATCTCTTAGGGAGGGTTCTGAGACAAGTCTCTGGTCTGTCTCTTTCCCGTCTTTCTCTCCTCTTTTCTACCTGCTATACTTCTACTTCCTTCCATAAATTTTGAGGAGCAACTAGATTTGATTAATGGTTCAGAAAGGAAACCATCCTCACTGTTCCTCCCTTAATTTCAAGGCCAGGATGTCAAAAGGACTCACTGCTAGGATCAAAACTCCAGCTCAGTAGTGGAGACCTGGCTTCCCTTCTGTGATATTGTAATAATAAGAAATATATATATTTGGTCTTTGTTCCTGGCACAGGCTCCTAAAACTCTTGGAATTTCTGAGTGCTGGGGTTAGAGGAGCATCTTTTTTTATTCATAATAAGCCCCCTTCCAACCATACCAGAATTTATCCTAATGAATAAATTCATTGCCTTTTGGAAGTACCTGTTGGGAGGCCCCGAGGTAGCTTCAGAATGGAGGCTCATCACCAGAAAGAACAAGACATGATTAGAGAGTTGTAAATTTTGGCTCCACCCCTAGACCTCTGGGGAGGGAGAGGGCCTGGAGATGGAGTTCAATCACCAATGATTTAATTAATCGTGCCTTCACAATGAGACTTCCATCAATACTCTTCTAGGCTGGTGAATACATCCAGGTGTTTCGAAGGTTGCAAACCCAGAGAAAGCACTCTTTCCATACATCTTGCCTATGTATCTCTTTCACTTGGCTGTTCCTCAGTTGCATCCTCTATAATAAACTGGTAATAGCAAGGAAACTGTTTCCTTGAGTTTTGTGAGCTGTTCTGGCAAATTATTCAACCCAAGAAGAGGGTTATGGAACCCCTATTTACAGCTGGTTGATCAGAAGTAGGAGAGGCTTGGAAGCTGCAACTGACATAGAACATGGAGGCAGTCTTGTGGGACTGAGCCTTAACTTGTGGGATCTGACACTGATTCCAGGTAGTGTCTGAATTGAATTGAATAGGACAAAACAAGCTGGTGTTGGAGGATTAACTGCTGTGGGAAAAAACCCTCACCTCACAGATTTGGTATTGGAAGTGTTCTATGGGCAGAAACAGATCATGGTACCCTCCACATCATCACCTTTAATAATCTTTTAATAGCGTCTTTTTCCCATGATTTTTTAGGCACAGAATATTAGTTCTTTTTTTTTGAGATGGAAAAGACGCAAGATCAGCATTAGTTTATTCTCTTTGTAAATATTAACTGGCTCTTCCTTAATGTATTCATCTCTGCTTTCTGGCATACATTACCCTCTATGGTCCTAGAAAGTAATAGTCAGTGCTGTTATTCTCAGCAAAATAGCAACATAATAAAAGCTGTCAGCATAATAAACATGCAACAGAGGACAACCAAATTTGAGGCCCCTCTTTTTATTATTCAAAGGAAAATAAACCCGCTGAAAGGATTTAGCAGTTCAGTAGTTCATTGGCAATGCAGAACAAGTGTGTGCAGTAAAGTACAAAAAAGAAAAAAAAAATCTTCCTCAAGTCTTATACATGCTAATTAAGCGAGTAAAATGCTGTGAGCGGACATTCAAAGAACAACAGTCCAGGCTTTCTTTGATAAATATGCTAAGAAGAGAGAAGATTATCAGACACAGCTTTCATCTTCTACTTGTGACCCAGAAACTGCAAGAAACAGACCCTTCTGAGGAGCACAGGGAATCTGGGGTGAGCTTTCTCTTCCTTCCCACCCGTATCTGAGGCCTTAACACTATGAATTCGGGGTCAGGCCCTGATAGCTTCCCCAACCATCATCTCCCAGTGCTGGCGTAATTCATTATGGGTAGGAAGGCCTGGGTCAGCGGGAGCCGGGCAGGGGTTTATGCTCCCTAAGCCCATGGCAGGCTTTGACCACACATGATGCAGCTGCCCGTAACCTGGGATGCTGGATACCTGTGCATAAATGCTGCTCTGTGCCTGGAAAAGGAGAGGACCTCCAGATTTCACCCTTCTTTGGAGGTCACACAGTCCTGACAGTTGCACAAGTGAGTTTCTGTGAGTACTGCCAGGTTATTCGGCTCTCTGCCTCAGCAGTCTACGCTATCTTGTCTGTTAGGGTCTTTAGGCTTTTTGAAAAAGAAGCGACACATGTTGGGTCCATTTAAAAGGCTCAAAAGGAATGTTTGATACGATGCTTTAAATTCATCTTTTTCTTTTTTCACCTTGAAATAGTACCGTAAAAATTTTTTTCCCAACTTACCTACAGATATCATTTTCTGCTTCCTCTAATCCAAACTGATTGTCAAACACTAGCTGTATCCGTGTATTCTCCTGAGAGTGAAGCCGCCATGTCAGGAGCAGGTTCCTGGGGTAGCTGTTCGGGAATCTAGGACTCTGCACGTAGCCGTTTCCTTTCACCTGGATGGTCTCATCTCTTCGGTACAAGTCTGTGAGGTGATTGCTCTCTGTTAGTAGTCACAACTTGTAGAAATTAGTATGTTGCTCCAATTACAGGAAAGTCAAAAAAAGAGAACAGTTTACAACACATCATACTTCAAAACACTTCTTTATTTTGCCTAAAAACATTAAGTCTAAATGCAAATAAACAAACTTTTTTTCTCACACTGATGGCGTAGCAATCTATGTCCAGTGACTAGCATCTGAGATACTCAATAAAGACTGCTGAGTGAATGAATGAGTGAAAAACAAAAGAAAAGACTCTAGTGATGTTTAATGACCCTTTATTTTGTATTCAATTGATATTCTCCGATGGGTAACCTTCTGCCTTCTATTAAACAAACAACACATCTTTCTTCTAGTATCCCCCACCTCCCTAAATTCTTCACAAATCCACCCTTGATGTCTGTCTAACTTTGTACTTTGGGAGTTCTCTTAATATCATTCTTGACAAGCAAAGACTAACAACAATCTCAGAACTTCAGTTCATTTAGTATGGATTAGAATCAGCAAATAATTTCATCCATCCTTCCACCACGAAAAATCATAATTTTGTGTCTTGGGTTTTCTATGAGTTAAAATAGGTCCAATTCTTACTGTATTTTCTCTATGCTGTTAGCCAGATAAAAAGAATTTATCTGGTTTTTGTACTGGGTTCTTGGAAGAGAGTTTCCAAACCCTTGGAATTTCTCACGTCATAGAAATATTTTTGTTATTCATGATATGGCCCCCGGGACCACGTCTGAATTTATGCTAATGAAGTGACTCACTGTGGGCCCACAGATAACTTTAGGATGGGGGTCGGCCATGCCAGATAGACCAACCATGTGATTAAGGGTTAGGGTTTGGAGCCATTATGACATTCAACCTGATCTCTCTCCCAACCTCTGGGGATGAAAGACGGATTGAAGATTGAGTCCACTCATGTTGATAATGATTCCATCAATCATGACTGCATAATGAAACTCCAGTGAAAACTCTAGACACCAAGACTTGGGTGAGTTTCCCAGGTGGGGATACACATTGATGTACTAGCAGGCTGATGTGTCCCGAGGACACAGAAGCTTCATGCTTGAGACCCTCTCAGACCTTACCCTATGTGCTTCTTTATTTAGCTGGTCCTAATTTATATCCTTTATAGGAGGACTTTAATTTTAAGTACAGTGCTTTTCTGATTTCTGTGAGTTGTTCTAGCAAATATCAAACCTGGGGGTTTATAGGGACTCCCAAATTTATAACCAATTGGTCAGAAGTGCAAGTGAGCTGGGGTCCCCCAAACTTGCAGCTGATGTCTGAAGTGAGTACCATATTGTGGTGCTTGTAATTTTAACCTGTGGAATTTGGCCTAACTCCCGGTAGTTTTCATCAGAATTGCATCATACAGTGGATCCCCTTTTCATCTCTCTCAATATTCAGAGTTCATTGCATTTTGGATTTTGGCTTTTTAGGCCCCACCATAAACAGACCTCCAGCCACAGTCTATTTATGTTATCCTGCAGAGAGTTTACTTTGAGGACTATAATTCAGTGAGCCTGGTCAGGGAAGCTATGCTTGCTGGTGGAAACCACTGTAAGGTAGGGTTTCTGAGGGTGGCTGTTAGAGCTTCCAAAAATAAGACAAAGAGGATAAGAATTGGCATGTGAAGTACAAAAGTCTCTTTTGCAAGTGATTTTGCATATGGGAATTTAAACTTTTTTTGGACTCATTTAATGTTAATGTGTTGCAGCTTGTTCAGCTAGACTTTGTGTGGGAGACAGAGTCGTAGGAAAAGCAACGGGTAGTTGAGGGATGTCCCCACTCCCTGCCTCCAGATGAAGGCAGTGGCCTGCAGTCATGGCAGCACTTCCAACAAGGACAGCAAGCAGACAACTTCCTAGGAGACGAAAATCATTTCTGCTCGTTGAGTCTTTTCCCTTCCCTTGATCTTATGCTTAAAGATCAGCTGCGAAAACTGGTGTCTGCTCATTTTGTCATAAGGGGCTTTTAGGCAATGGGTCTTGATATGGTTTGGCTCTGTGTCCCCACCCAAATCTCATCTCTAATTGTAATCCTCACATGTCAGGGGAGGGACCTGGTGGGAGATGACTAGATCATGGGGTGGTTCCCCCATGCTGTTCTCGTGATAATGAGTGAGTTCTCATGAAATCTGATGGCTTAAAAGTGTGGCGGTCCCCTGCAACCCCTGCCTCCTGCTGCCATGTAAAAGGTGCCTTGCTTCCCCTTCACCTTCTGCTATGATTGTAAGTTTCCCAAGGGCTCCTATGCCATATGGAACTGTGAGCCAATTAAACCTCTGTTCTTAATAAATTACCCAGTCTCAGGTAGTTCTTTATAACAGTGTGAAAAATGACTAACACAGGTCTGAACACTGTTTTCTAGGTTGACTGATTTGAGCTATTAGTCAGTCAACAATTATGTATTAAGCATAGATTAACCATATTGTATTATAGTATTTTCAAGACTTCTATCACTTGAGTATTACCCTTACAATTTTTGCCACATTTTTGTGCCTCTAGTGCTATTAATTATTTATTAGTTTCTCTCTAAATTAATATTTTAATCAAAAGCAAATTTATTCTAAAATAAAACTTTATGCCAATAATGTAAATGGCAAGCAGCCATCATTTGCCATGAATAGAAGGTAACCATGAGTCTAAATATATTACTATTAAATTTTAAAATATCTATCTCAGGTATTCAGATTCCTCATTTGTATAAGTGAATTGAGCATCACATTTTCTCTTTGGTCTTTTTCATGGGTATTATATATTCTTTCTTTACAGTTTCAGATGCTATGTTAGATCTGGATAGAATTTAAAAATGTTTAAAGAATGGTTCTTGTCTTCGTACACTTGGAAAAAAAAGTTGATGCATACTGCACAAATGTAAACAGGCAAAAGGGAATATTAAGTGCTGAGTGTAAATGCTGTGGTTGCTCAAAGGCCAGGTGAGCAGCAAGGGCTAATGTGGAGAATGTGTACATATGATCCTTGCAAGAGGCCTGCCCAGAACAGAGCCCAAGTGAGACATAAGAGGCTAGAAGCTTTAAAGGAACTATGGAAATATTTGAAAGCCAGGCAGAAATATCTCCACTTGATATGGGTACAAACAGATCAGCCCTGGTGTGGGTGAATAGTTTGTTAAAAGGAAGATTAGCCTGTTGGTGATACAGTAGACAAACTGGAGGGAAAATGCCTGGAGCATCAAGGTCTCCTAGGAACTAGAGGTGAGGGTAACAAGGTCCTATTCTGGAAGGGCAGGTGGCAGTGATGCCACTTTGGGGGAAAAATAGAAAGGAATGTAAAAGTATTGGTTAGAGGTAGCAGCAGCATGCTAAGCCTAGAGCCTGGGCTCAGTGTGGTATTATTGATACTCAAGGATGCTGCCAGGGGAAACATTTTTAGAGGAATGTAAGTTTGGTTTTGAAGTGGTGATGAGTAATTCAAGTGGAAACTTAGCAGGCTTTGGGGTTACAGAGCTAGCTGAGAGAACAGATTAGACACAAGGCCTCAGCTTAGAGAGGGGAGAGGAGGCCTTGGGAATCAGTGATCCCTCTCAAGAAGTGTCCTGAGAAGGGAAGGTGAAGCTTGGTGCTGGCAGACATGCCCTGGGAGTGGCAGATGACAGAAGGAGTGCCCACCTGGAGCAATGGCTGGGAAGGAAGCTGTGTGTAAGTCAGGCTGCCCAGAAAAGGGACAATTTCAAGGACAGAGTGGTCAATAAAGTCACATGCAAAACAAGACCAGGGGACAATAGACGGAGAAAAGACCACAGAACTTGGTAATAACAAAGTCAATGATATCCTTTCAAAGTACACTTTTAGAACTTTTCTAAGTATAAAAGGGGACTCTTTTTTCTAAAACATCATTAAAGTCTACACTGTCTTAAAGGTATTAACTCTGGTTATAAATGAATGCCAATTACATTTTTATGAACCTGTAGAAGGGGTGGGGAGAGGGGCTTTCCTTCTTATGTAGTTTGATTAAGACAGTACAGTCAGCCCTCCATATCCATGGGTTCCACATTCATGGATTCATCAACATCAAATTGAAAATATTTATTAAAAACAGGATGCTTGTGTCTGTGCTGAACACATACAGACTTTTTTTCTTGGCATTATTCCCTAAACAATACAGTATAACAACTGTTTACATAGCATTTATACTGTTTCTAGAGGTGATTTCAAAATATAGAAGAGGATGTGCATAGATTATATGCAAACAGTACATCATTTTATATAATGGGTTTTGGTATCCTTGTGGTATGTGGAGCGGGAAGGGGTTCTGGAATCAATACCTCATTAATACTGAGGGATGACTATATTCGTTTTCAATTTCACAAATTTGTCAGAGACCTATGCTGCAGTATTTTGAACTACAGGGGAAAAATAACAATATTTCAGATTTATTTTTCCTTAAAAAATTCTGCCAAAAAATACACCTGAACAAACAAAATATGCACAACAGCAAACACTGCTAATTATGCTTATTTTGTGCCTGGCATTGTTCTAAGCAATTTGCATACTTCATTTGTAGGGTCTAATCACTTTATACAGATGATCTCTTGTGTGTGTATGCATGTCCATATATATTTATAACGACTTTGAGATAGGTATTATTACCACCTTTTTTTTTTTTTTTTTTTTTTTTGAGACAGTGTCTCATTATGTCACCCAGGCTGGAGTGCAGTGGTATGATCTTGGCACACTGCAACCTCCGCCTCCCGGGTTCAAGCAAGTCTCCTGCCTCAGCCTCCCGAGTAGCTGGGATTATAGGCACGCACCACCATGCCCAGCTAATTTTTGTATTTTTAATAGAGACAGGGCTTCACCATGTTGGCCAGGCTGGTCTTGAACGCCTGACCTCAAGTGATCTGCCCACCTTGGCCTCCTAAAGTGCTGGGATTACAGGCGTGAGCCACTGTGCCCAAGTCATTACCACCATTTGACAGATGAAAATTCTGGGGAAGAGAGAGGTCTAGTATCTTGCTCAAGGTCACAGAGCTAGTGAAAGGTAGAGTTAGAATACAAACCAGGCTATCTGGTTCCAGAGTAGATGCTTCTAACCACTGTACTATAGAAAGTGTTCTTCCTTCTTAGTCTGAAATCTGCTTGAGGCAATTTTAGATTCTTTGCTACGGGTAATTGTGTAATCCACTTCTAAGTCACACTGTTTACATATAATTTAACTTAATGCCAACTCAGGGCTATTCTTAGCAGAAGAGTTGTAATGAATTATAGATACAAAGAACAACCTCTCAGGTTAAACCCGAGATAAGTACCAAAGTATTATACACAAAGTCACATTCCTAAACAAAGGTATTTACTTTGGTGTTCCAATAACAGCTAACATTTCTGGAGCAACTATTGCCAGGTACTCCAATAAGTGGTTTAAAGCCATTACTTCATTTAATCCTCACAACAACCCCATGCCATTGGTATTATCCCCACTTTACAAAGGAAGTTCTGAAAATTTAAGAAACTTGTGACCTCAGGCACAAAGCTTGTGGTGGAATCAAGATATGACCTTAGGCAGTCTACTACTTTCAGAGCACACATGCTTAACCAGAGCACTGTACTAGCTGTTAAACTACAAAAATAGGAAAACAATCACTTTTCACAGAGAGGAAATAATTTTTATGTATGTTTATATAACAATGACATAGTTTTATTTTGCATTTTAACACAGAAAGATGTTCACATCCTCATAAACTCTGAGGTACGCATTTGACTTAAAAAAGGCAATTAAAATTTTTAAAAAGCCAAAATGTTATATAATTGTCTATTTTATTCCCAATTGTTCAGCAAACTCAGCTCACCCAACCAAGTACCCCAGGAGCTCATGAAAGTCACTGTAGGCACTATTACTTATCCCTGAAATCCATCTAGACCAATGGTTTGCTATATGTGGTCCCCAGAGCATCATTATTAACATCACCTAGGAGTCTGTTAGGAATGTAAATTCTCAGGTCCTACTCCAGACCTACAGAAGCAGAAATGCTGGGCACGGAACCAAGCACTATACATATTAATAAGTCTCCAAGGTGATTCTGATGCACCCTAAGGTTTGAGAACCACTGACCATATCATGATTTCTATTTTGCTTCTTATTCCTACTTTCCTGCCACCTCTTTGCTTTGACTCTGTAACTCAAGTCTGGTTTTTCATTTTGTGTCCTTGACTGACAACCTGTTGATATGGACAGGAGTCAGAGAAATACTGGGTAGAAGAGGGTAGTTCCCCGGCAAAGGCCCCACTCTCAAGCCTGGAAATCCACAGCCCTAAATGGGAACAGGCATTCCTGTTTTTGTTCCCAAAAGTTGCCTTTGGGTCTGCCATGCCACCCTATCCTGTACCCATAATAACTCCAGACCCCAGGCTCCAGAAGCAGATGAGGAGGAGACGAACAGAAGTGCAGAAGAATGGACGAACAGCGTGGCAGAGAGAAGAGAAGGAGCATCTGAATATCAAGAGGAGTTCAGCTGGGGGCGGCTAGAGAGGAGACCTGCTGCTGGACAGCCAAACTCCAGGGAAGAGTATATTCCCACTCCATCCCCCTTCCAGCTCCCTATCCATCCTGGTGAGAGCCGCCTCCACCATTCAATAAAACCCCCACATTCATCCTTCAAGTCCATGTGGAACCTGATTCTTCCTGGATGCCAGACAAGGACCTGGGTACCAAGAGGGCATGGAGCTGGTTAATACTTAAGCTGTCTGTGGACAGCAAGGCTAAAAGTGCACACTGTATCACGTGCCCATTTGGGCTTTGGGAGTTGCAGATACCCACTCCTGGATGTTGCTATGGGAGTGGACCCCAGGGGTCTCATCTGCGTGCTCCCCCTCCTGTAAGGGGTTTGAGTGTGCATGACAGCTAAACAAGAGGAGCCACATGCCTGTCGCAAGTCCTATGCGGGGGATCAGGGAAGTATCCCGTTTTACTGTCTTGGGCTCACTTTTCTATTTCCGACCTTGGAACCTCCTCTAGGATGTCATTTCCAGTATACAATGACTAGAGCAAGAGGCTACACACCTTGGTGTCTTTGACTGCCTTTGACAGTCTCACCCCTTATCCAGCTTTCCCCATTCATGAAGAAGTCACCCCTGGCCCCAATAAATGTATGTGATAATCCATCATCATATATAATAATGCTTAAGGAGAAATGAAACTATGAATAATGGTAATGTTTTTCTTCTCATATCATAATATTATACATGACAACATAAGATGCAAAAGGAAAATAGTTGTTGAAGTAAAAATTAAAATATTTGATCAAACAGTGATATAGTTGCAGGCTGTGCCATCTCACACAAACTCAGTGGAACACTACAGACATGCCCTTTTTCTCTTGTCCCCATAAGACAGCCAGGAACCAATAGCATGACTGATAGTGACAAACCCTTTTCAGCTACAAGCCAAAAGCAATCAAGAATCAGGAAATTCCAAACTTACAAAAAGATCTTTTTAACAAAATATCATTAATAAAAGTGCTGTTTCATGATCCTATAATATGTCATAGCAGTAATGTTTGCCCAGAATGTAGTTGAATGATATGTAAACTATATAGTCCCACTTCTGTTGCTAAACAACCACAGTAACCTAAATTTGTGTGGGATGCAGTATAGTTTATAAACACCCATTTTGCAAGTCCATCATAGAAATAAGTTGACAAAATAGGAAGCAAATATTATACTTTCATTCTGTTTTTTATAATAATTGTTTTGTTGTTACTTTAACAGGTAACAAAAGCAACAGAGAGAAGTGATTTGTTGCAAGCCCAAAGAATGGAAGCTTTCCATATTTAAGAGCTGAGTCTTAAAGTCAGCTCTACCTCTTTCAAGTCCTAGTAACTCTTCCCCTATATTACAAACAGCAGCATTATTCACACCATGTCATCCCTCTGGCTTCTGTTTCTCAACCTGATACATTAGGGGGCTGAATAATGTGGCAGATTCCTTTCAGGTACAAAATGACATGACACCTCAATAGTTTTCTTCCAAGGGGACAGAAATACCAGTGGTTGGACTATGGGTAATAGATAAGATTAAACAATGCTCGGAAAATAAAATCTCAAATCTCAAATCTTCAATGGGTAAGTGGTCAAACACTTTTGCTAACTATATGTAACATTTTATTATATTAGCATTAGATATAATAGATATTATATATAGTTGTATGCCATCATCTGAAATAAGAATACAAGTTGTTCAAACACATATTGTTTGGAAAAATCTCTATTTCTTTTCAACTAGAAAAGTGTCCCAGGCACATAATTATCCACTTAGCACACTAATTTGTGTTGAAAACATTACGAAGGAATTAAAATAAATGTTTTAATGTAGAAACAATGTATTCTATCTTTTGCTCCCTTTAAAACTAAGTAAAGACTTCTTTCTGAGTCTATCTAGGTAGAAGAGATAAAAACTGAAGATACTCAAAAGTGCTGTATAATTTCTTTAAAGTTTCAAAGGAAAGTAAAAAATAAATCATATTGGAGAAAATTAAACTCCTGAGGCAAAGGACTATGTCTTGTTAATCAATGTAACCCCAGTATATTGCCAGTCTGGGCATATGAGGCACTCAAAATATATTTTTAAAAAACATACATGGATGAATGGTTAACTACAAATAGTACATATTATATATGCATATTATAATAATAATGCAAATTATTAATACAAACCTGAAAGACATTTAAAGATAACAAATAAAAGGCAATTTTATCAGAAATAAAATTGTAAAATGCCCCAAATATTTCACTTCTAAGAAATTCATATTAATGTAGCCAAGGGCCCTATATTTGTGAGAACACATTTAGCATGAACATTAAGGGATTATTTTTGGAAGAGATGCATTTAAATGATCCTGCTTAACATCTGGTTTATATATTAATTCTGAAATGACTACTTACTCTGTCCTATTTCCATTTCACAACCTACCAGTAGCACCAGAGCCAGGCCCTACCATACTTTAAGAAGTTGTGACTCTGAAAGAAAAGAAGAAAAATGCTGTAACAAAAGTAAAATAGTTTGCTGTTATATATGGGGGCTGCTCTTGGATTTATTAAGCAATATACAAAATCGGTGACTGACTAGATTCCATAGGTTCTCATCCTATGCAACCATTTAATTTAGAGTGGCAAGCTCAGCAAAATGAATCAAAATCAGTCCTGTGTCTTGCAAATGCATTATTATTATTATTATTATTATTATCATTACTACTCAATGACCTCAAGTAATTTCTGCACTCTTCCTCAAAGAATCAAAACACAGTAAAGTGTCCTAAGATGCAAAACAGTACCTTAATTGATGAGACAATGTGCGGTGTTTTGTTGAAGCAGCAAAAAAGAAATGAAAGAGATGGAAGATAGAAAAGAGACTAGGGCAGGAAGTCCTAACTTAAAAATGAATAGGTCAATTTGTACAACAGACCCTAAAATATGCAACTTGGATTAAATTGAATTTAATTAGATAATTTTCCATAAATTATCTCCTAACTTAAAAAGTACAGGGTTGGAGTCTCACCATGTGAACTGATAAAGGTGAAAATTAGACTCTAACAATGTTAGTTTAAAAATCAGCACGGAAGCTTTTTCAGCTTTTTCCCCCTAGTGTTTGCTAACGCACTGAAGCTTGCAATCAATGAGCTGAAGTCCTCCTGGGACTATTAATAGGACGGTCTTCACTAAGGAATTTTTGGTTAACACATGTTCCTAGTGAGAATTAGTCTTCCAATAGCTCACATTAGCTTTCCAAAAACAACATCCACCTGTGCTCAGTCTATGGCCTGCCATTAAGAAACTCAAGAGCAAAGCTGATTAAACATCAGACATTTATTTAGAATTCTCCAGCAGAGATTTTTCTAAGATCTCAGTAGTAATACAAAACTTTTCTGTTTATAAAGATTTGGGGAAGGAGATGGTTGTTTGCCAGTTACATATCTTTTTTTTTTTTTAAACATTAGAGCTCTTTTTGGCACAAACAAAGATGTTAATGTTACATAAACAGCCATGCTCACAGTAACAATTTGGAGACAATGTTTTTTTGTAATCACTTGATTATTCCCTGAACTCAAAATTATTCTTCTTCAAGAATCTGAGTCCACCAAAAAAGAATAAATGAAAAAGTACCATAAAGTCCTCTTGAATACTTGCCAGAAACACTCACAGGAGTGTAATAATGCCCAAAGTATTATATTCATAATTATTATTCTTCACCTCACTAGAACTTTTAATGTACAAAAATTTGTTTTGTTATTGTACATTAGTGAGCGATCATATTCTTTCCTTCAAAATAGCTTGTATTTTATAGGTAATTACAGAAATGATGGTAAAATATTAAAATGGAAATAATTTAACTTTCTGAAATGACTTTTGGTCTAATTTTTAGAATATTTGAATCTGGATAAAGATTGACCCAAAATAACCATGGTAGATTTTATCACATTCATATTAATTAATTCTCTGATAATTCTCTTTTCTTCTATGGTAGTCTGTTTGTGTTGCGATATTGCCACTTACATGTAAAGAATGTGAAAAAAATGAAATAATAAAATTCAGAACTGTGAGGGTGAAGGGAAATGTTGAATGGCATGGTAGAAAGTATTACAGTATCTAAGGCTCCTGAATAGAGAGATCCTTTCCATAATACTAACTTAACACCCAGAAAATAATAAGACAACCACAATGACAAAAATATCTGCTTTAACCACTGCCAACATAGCTCAGAAACACAGAAAGATAAGAGGGAAAATAGAAAAGTCATACCCAGGAGTAACAAGATTTAGCATTTTTTCTAGAGAACATTTGTTATAGAAAAACCAATATTTTTATAAATATTGTCAATAATGAGGATTTTCTCAGAGTAACTTTAAGAAGTAACCAACCCAATAAAGTTGATGTGGAATTGAACAGTGTGGATCAGAGGCAATGATCGTAAAATATCCTAATGCTTAAAGTGCTAGTCTGTACAGACAAAGATGAAAGCATTTTCTTAGTCACTTCTGACTAAAGGGCTCACAAATTCCCAGGAGAAAGCTGAGAGTTAGTTTGGTTTATCACTTGTGATGTATATAAACTTATGACTATATTTAATATGTACATTAGTTACATATCACATAATGAACACATTATGTATATTTATAATTATACTTAAAATAAATTTTTATTAAATTGTATGGCTTCAGTGCTATTTACGGATTAAATCACTTTTCAATACCAAAGTCATTGCATTCCAAAGTAATTTCTTCGCATGTTAACATTTTAAAATAGGGAACTATCTTATGATTACTGTTAAATGTAACTGTCCAGCTGTCAGGAAGAGGAGCAAGTTGGGACAGAGTTTTCATAGATTTTGTAAGCATAAATTTAGTCATGAGTAGGAGATAACTGTTCATCTGATTTCAACTTCAAATATTATCTTTGGTAGCATAATATATGGATGAATTATAATGTATTTGGATAGCTGTCACTTGTAAAACATTTATAAAGGTTGTACTATGATGCAGTATCAAAATTTTAAAAGTGTTTGTGAAGATAAATGAGTATGGAAAAAGAAATGAAAATGTAAATATACTAAAAAAATGAAGAAATAATATCACATCCATATTCTCTGGTAAAAAAAAATATTCAAGTGCTTTATGGGACCAAAGCTGGGAAGATGTATTAAAGTAAAAATTGTATTTTGATTTGTCACTGATGCTCAAGGAAATAAATTTCCTGCCTCTCTCAGAAAATGCAATTAAAAGCAGTAGAAATTATGAAATGTCTCAGAATAGGCCAAATAATTAGTAAACCTATGAAAGATTAATGCAAATGATTCCCGCATTATGATGATGATAAATAGCTACCTATCAAAAGTTGGAGGCTTTCAAGAGAATTACTTAACATCTAGTGATACCTAACCCACATAAGCAGAAAATGATACAATTAATGAAAATTCAGATGAATTCCTAGCATTCTTTGATATTTCTCGGAATTATCTGGAGTCCTAAAAGTGCACTGTTGATCAAATCATAATAACACACACTGGTTCTGAAAAAGGTCATGTTACTTTGAAGCTATGTATGAATACTGAATTACCGAAGTGATTTAAAAGACTTCTGTGATTCAATGTAAAAAAGGCTTGGATTTGGACTTTGAGATAATAAAAGACATTATACTTTTCTGGATAAATGCATGCTATTATCATTTTATTAAAAAGAATACTGTGTGCTTTTAATGCAGACCTTTTATTCTCCCCCAAAGCTATTACTAAGTCAATGCTAGGTCATACAACGGATGGTGTTTTAGAATGAAACAAGCTTTTTGTTTTCTTGTTAAAGCTCATGCTAACAAATCTCTTCAAATATCTTTGTGTAGACTACTGTGTCTCCTCCATGGACTCTTCCCTAACGTGACTCCAGTGGAGTAGCATTAGTTAGGAAAGGACAGATTATACTAGCCTAAATCTTAGTGGTTTTAAAGTTTATTTTTTGTTCATGCTACATGTCCACTTTGGGTTGGTGGGGCTCCACTTCATGTTTTCTCACTCCGAAATCTGGGAAAATGAACTTTTAGTACTGTAATATTTAGAGCTATGCAGGGGAAACCAGGAGATGAAGAATGGCCTAAGAAAACCACATGGCCATGTTATGGACAAGAGGCAGGGAAATACTGGGTAGAAGAGCACGTTTCCCCTGCAAAGGCCTCACCCTCAAGCCTGGGCCTGCGGCCCTAAATGAGAACTTCACAACCCTGTTTTCATACCCAAATGTTGCTCTTTCTGAAACCACCCTGGCCCACTATGTCCCCCACCCTGTACCCATAAAAACCCCAAACTCCGCTGGCAGAGGAGCAGAGCAGTATGGCAGAGAAGGAGAAAAAACAAGTGTCTGAATGTTGAAGTGTCTGAATGTGGAGAGGAGCTTGGCCTGGGACAGCAGAACTCCAGGGGAAGATTATCTTCCCAATCCATCTCTTTTCCTGCTCCCCATCCTGCTGAGAGCCAGCTCCATCACTCAATAAAACCTCCACATTCACCATCCTTCAAGTCTGTGTGACCTGATTCCTCCTGCATACCAGACAAGAACCCAGGTACCAAGAGGGCAGGGTATAAAAGGCTGTCATCCTGACTCTCCACTGAGCTGGTTAACGCTTAGCCATCCGTGGATGGCAACTACTAAAAGAGCATTAATTGTAACACACCCCTAGATGCTACTGTGTGGCTGGAGCCCAAAAGCACTCAACCCAGCCTGGCACCCGCTCGCCTGCATGCTCCCTGTCCTGCAAGGGGTTTGAGTGCAGCAGCCAGTCAGTGAGCCATACAGGACTGTTGCAAGTCCTGTGAAGGGGTCCAGGGAACTCTTCTGTCTTAGCCAGACCTAACTTCCAATAGAGTGGATGCCTGGAAAAGTAAAGAAGAACTGCAAACTGATGAACAGTTTAGTAGTGACTACTTCAATGGCATACTTACTTCCCATATATAAAAGCATCAGGCTTGACTTGTCTTTTTGTTTTTCAATAGGTAGCATGATCTAACCATACACTGAATAACATCTCATTGTTATTATTATAAATCATTGCAATTGTGGCAAAATAGATGGTCAGGATAGAAATGTATCTCCAAGCAGAAGATTCATAAAGATTTGATGACTACAGAGGAAGAAAAATGGTGCTGAGCTACCAAAAAATACATTTGAGTAAGTGGTCTTGATCTTTGTCAGAATTCATTATCTTTCTAGAGATAGCAACTAGGTTTTATTCAGTAGATAAATTAGGATAGTGACAGTAACCTCCAGTATTCATCTTAAGAAGGATTCTGAGCCTGTGTCTATGTTAAATAGAAAAAATGGAAATGACAAATTAACAATGTCTCGCATGGGCCCAGAAACATAGAGACAGAAACATTTTTGCCATCCCTTTATATAGCTACTGAATAATATTCTATGTCTGTTTCTCTACATTTTTGCTTCCTTCATGCCTATTCCACAAGACCTGTACTGGTCTGCTTATGCCTGCAATCCCAGCATATTTGGGAGGCCAAGGCAGGAGGATAGCTTAGGCTAGGAGTTCGAGACTAGCCTGGGCAACACAGAGAGACCCCATGTCTACTAAAAATAAAAAGATTAGCTGGGTGTGGTGGCATGCACCTGCAGTACCAGTGACTTGGGGAGCTGAGGCTGGAGGACTGCTTAAGCTCAGGAGTTTGAGGCTATAGTGAGCTATGACTACACCACTGCACTCTAGCTTGAATGACAGAGTGAGATCCTCTCTCCAAACAGACAAACAAACAAACAAACAAAAGATAAACATGCTTTCTTGTGGGACCTCCTACGGTAATCTAGAATCTTTTTTTCAGATGAGTTAGAAGTAGCCTTTAATAAAGAATAATACATACTAGCATTTAATACATCCTGAGAAAGATGGGATTGTGTGTGCCTACATTGCTAAAAGCAACCAATTTGTGAAGCCAAATAGGCATCTTCGAGGTCTACTGTGGTTTATGCTACAAAATTGGTGAGCTTTATGGAAAAAATGACTAACAATATACTGGCATCTGTCTGGCTTCCCTGGGAGCCCATATATTAATAATAATCAAATAGTCTCTCACATGATCAGCAGAAAAGAAATTTGAAGTTATATTCTGGGACAAGACCCAAAGTAATTCCTCACTCTATCAGCATTTATTGAGATTTTACAGAGTGCCTGTTGGGAATTAGGAGCTGCATTTAGATGGTGAATAAATTCATGCTTTCATCCTAAGTATGATCCCACTAGGCAGAATGGTCAAGTTCTCAATTCCTCTGTTGCTGTTATTTTTGCAAAGGAAAAGATAGAACTTACTATTCCCGTCATTTGAAGGCTTCAAAGATATTGCTGGTGAATCGCTTCCTCCAAACTCTTAATGTGCTACTTAAAAAAATTAATTCATAAACCAAGAATACTTGCTTTTAAATCTTACTAGATTTTATTCTGAAGCACACTCAATAAAAATCTAAGTTTCAAATTTAGCTAGAGTTAGTAATCTTCTGTGAGATTGCTACAAATGACATGCTATGAGAAGCCAGCAATTGAAACAAGATTCTCTTTTCTTCTTAGATTGACAGGGTACTGCTTGAAAAAGAAATGCAGATTTTGTTTATTCTCAAGGGGTCTCAGGTGTGAACGAAGCTACATTTTAAATTAATCTGAGAAAAAAGACCAATTTTAGAGGCAAGAAGAACTACAGGTCATCTTTCTTGGTATTTCAGAAGAAAAAAGAAAAATAAACACAGCATTACCTTTGCATCTGGAATACAAAAAATGATTTTAAAGCAAATGTGCACATAGGAAAATCATCTATTTAACTTTATCCTTAAAGAAAACAGTACATTCAAAAGCATGATTTTCTAGCCTACATATGTCTTTACATTAGATCTAGTAACTATGTACTGAATGAAATGGGTTTTAATAAGTTGAAAACTGAATAAATTAAAAAGCACTAGAGTATTAGTATGCACTGAACTCCAGAATGGCATATTTCACAAAGTTACAATATCATGTGAGAGTTTTGCATGGTTGTCCAATTTAGCCATTCACCCATTTTCCATTTCTATTTTCATTTTTGGTTAAAAACAGAGACACAGACAGTCCCTTCATGCATATAAAGAGCTCACGTGGAAACAACATTGAATGACAGCTGGTTTTTACTATCAATTTCATGTTTGTGCTACAGAGTCCAAAACCCCAACAGAAACACATTCTCACAATTAATAAATTTTAAATAGTAGTAAGCTCTCAAAATCTACTTGTTGAATGAATCCCTCTGAAATTTTACACATAGGCAGAGGTCTTTTTATTTGCACAGTATCACATGCTTAATGAATCTGCTGGTCTTATAAAAGCTAATTTTGGCTGCAAATTTTACAGATGACCAAACTAAAATTGACTGAGACAATAAGGAAAAGGTGTCATCTCTCACAGGAAGTCAGGAGGTAGATACTTTCAGGTTTGATTAATTCATGGCTTTGCATGGTAGTCATGGGTTTTTCCACCTTTCTGTTCTGCCATCCTGAATGTGTTGGCTGCTCTCCTTAAAATGTGACAGCAGTTTCAGCTATCTCTCCCTCGCAGGGTTGGATTCAAGGCCAAAGAAAAGGCCTTTCTTGACATATTTCTAAATATCTTTTTAAGAAAGCGGAGCCTTTCTCAAATCCCCAAGCAAGCTTTCCCTCTGTCTCACTGGGCAGAATCTGGGCATATTCTCAGGCCTATGCCAGTCATGGCAAGGGGAACAGACTTACCAAGACTGGCTTGGACCCACACAAAGTTCTCCCCGAGCTGAGGCCCATGTCCACCCATCAGGGTAAAAGTAAGAAATAAGGGGCAAGAGAGAAGTTGGAGTGGCAAACAATGAGCAGTAATTAGCAACTACTGGGTATGTCTGTGTTTATATCAAGCTTTAAAAGGCCCTTGAAATATGCATTCAACCGATATTTCCTGAGTGTACGAATGCTACTTTAACACGGAAAGGGCACCATGGCCACTGTTCGAATGAAAACATTAATACTACACGGTTGTTGCTCTGAACAAGGTGGTTATAATCTGTTTGGTGTAAAGGTGGGATTGGCAGAAAAATCTTTTTTTCCACAATTTGCCATGTAGCACTATTTAAGAAATGTTGGTCACCTTGAAGCAGGTTTTGGGAAGAAATCTCTGACTTTTTCAGCCATGAAATATTTCTCTGCTATAGTCTGAATGTTTGTGTCCCCTCCAAATTCACATGTTGAAATTCTAACCCTCGAGGTGATGGTATTAGGAGGTGAGGCCTTTTGGGAGTGATTAGATCACAAGGCAGAGCCCTCATGAATGAGATTACGGATTTATAAAACAGGCTCCAGAGAGATTCCTAAACTGTCTACCATGTGAGGACATAGAGAGAAGGTGCCATCTATACATCAGGTAACAGGCTTTACCAGACACCCAATGTGCTGGTGTCCTGATTTTGAACTTCCCAGCCTGTAGAAATGTGAGAAATAAATTTCTGTTGCTTAAGCCACCTGGTGTGCGGTATTTTATTATGGCAGCTTGAGCGGACTAAGGTACCCTCTTTACTTAGATCTATTAACATTCCTTGGGTGTTTTTCCGTTTTTTTTGTTTTTTTTTAAATTATCCAGTATATGCAAACAAACACCAGGACATCAGATAGGAAGATTAAACCTCTATCCATTGCAGAATGAGTCACAGCCCATGTTTTAGTCTCTATCTACTTTCTCCAGTTCAAATTTCCAGTCTAACACTCAACATATTCTTCATCACTGTTCTGCCCGATCCAACATCCATCTCCATTACAGAAAATATGGTATTTCCAATTAGTAATCCTCATAAATTCCAATGCCTAAACACGAAACCGTTCAACAAATAATAACAGAGATGTAGGAGTCTTGATCTTTTCCTCTACCTGTGGGATTATTTGTGGGTGTGTGACATATGCCTTAAAAGACTCAGTCAAGGGACATTGCTTATGTCTTTATCTTACTACATATGCTAGGGTGCTAACTTTTGTGAGGGAGACCTAAAGCCTTGTATATGTATACACATTAGAGACTTGGAGAAAGTAAGTACGCGATGTTTAATTTTTAAGAGCACCATCGATAAGATCCTTGGCATCTGCTAGAGTGGCTGTTTTGTAAAGTACCATAACTGCCATTTATATCTCCAGAAAGATTTGAAAATCTACTACAGTGACTACTGTGGTTCTCACAAGACAGAGATTTTCAGATTAAAAAAATACAGTACCTTATGCTATGATAAATGGGAATGGAGGAAGGGAAAGAACATTCTTTGGGTCAAGCATTGTAACAGAAAATTTAACATGTGCCATTTTATTGATTCCACCTGTAAAACTCACCCTTTACATTGTCCCCCAATTGCACCCCACCCCCCTCCACACACACCCCATTTCCCAGACTAAAAGCTTCTGGAAAATAAAGACTGGGACTCATTCAGTGTTGTATCTGAATCTAATGAGAAGTAATAGGAGGATTTCAATTAATATTTATTGAACAAATGAATGAAACTCAATATTCTTGAGGCAAGATGCTTCTGTGCACTTACATATCAGTAAACAGAACTGAAGAAGTTAACATTTTTGGACTTGGAGTTCAGAATTAAATATGTTTGATTTTCCATCTGTATATCTCACTTCGTTAGATTTATGTCTTCTGTCTCCCTGGCCCTATCATGTCTGCCATTGTCCATTCGTTAACTGAGTGGGTTCATCTGCAGTTTCGAAGTCAGAATTCACAAACCCTGCAGTCGAACCCATGACATGTGATCTTGTTAGATTGCTTCTGTATAGGAAGATGTCTTTTGGGGAATCTGCCCAACTCATATATCCCCTTCTCTGTTAGTTGCAATCCAGGTGGTCCCCAGATGGCCCTTTTCTTCAGGGAGGAGCCCTGGCCAGCAAGGTTTGCACCAGTCACTGTGCTCCTGGCACTCATACATGTCCTTTTCTGCCTCCCTCTCATGCCCCAAGTGTGGTTTACCACTTCTTCATCTGTTAAGCATTTCTAACCCTGCCTCTCTTTCACAAACTGTTTTGATTCTTTTTCTCATTTAACATATTGTGTAGTATTAATGCTGTTGCGGATTTGTGCCTCTTTCCTTACTGGACTTTTTAGTTCTTTAGGGAAAGAGCTATGGCTCTGCTCCTTGATCCTTGTCTTCAGCCACAATGGCCTGGCATGTCCTCCTCGGCTCCAAGCACTTCCCTGCCTTGGGACCTCCTTAGAATGCAGAGGGTGTCCTCTGCAAAGAATGCTCACCCTCTATCTCCTCACCAGGAAAACTCTTCTTTTATTGGGCATCATTTCTATCATTGCAGACAACTCTTTTCCTTAAAAACACACACTCCACTTTGTATTATATGTGTGGATTTTATTGTTTCATATCTGGTTCTTCTAGCAAACAATGAGCTTTGAAAGGCTAAGGATTATATTTATCTTGTTCAATACTGTATGTCCAGCACCTAGCACAGAGTTGGCATAGAGTAAAGGCTCAATAAATGTTCGCTGAATAAATTCATCCTTGAATCTCAAATGTATAAAATGCATTCTTTGGGTCAAGCATTGTGACAGAAAATTTAATATGTGCCATTTTATTGGCACAAATGAGGCCCATTAATGTCTGAGAAATAAATTATTCAAGGATAATAAAAGAAAAAAACTATTCCTCTAGTCAACTAAATTCTGCCACATTATTACTTTTACACATTTAACCAAAAACTATTAACATATTTATTTAGCATGTATTATTTTGTGCAAAGTACAATGGCAGACACGATACGGCCAGGGAGACAAAAGACATAAATCTAACAAAGTGAGATATATAGCTGGAAAATCAAACATTTAATTCTGAGCGCCAACTCCAAAAATGTTAAGATTCTTTCTGAAATATTGTGTTGAAAAGTTCTCTGAGGCTGTAGATATGATCTGGGGGAAAGATTATCATGTATAATTATTAGTTTCTGTCCTGAGCATGGAAGGGAGATAAATGGCTGCACAAACGTTATATTTTCTGTGTCTATTATAGAAGGGCTGACATAAATGAACTTTTAAAAATAAAAATGTGTTTGGAGTGTTCCCTACTACTTTCTAGTTGTGTGTCTTCGGGAAAAAAATCACCTAATCTACATGTCACTTCCTTCATCTACAAAATAGTGATAACATTAACATCTCCATGGGGCTGCGATAAGCACCAAAAATAAAAAAATATGGAAATGTTTTACTAAATGTAAAACAGTCTACAAATGTCATTAAGCTAAACAGATGCACAGAAAAAATAACACCAATGAGTAAATAAACACCAAACAAATTTCTAGGCAGCAAACATTTTAGGAGTTCAAAAGATGGAGAGGCAGTTTCCTAGGCCGATTTATTGCTTCAGAGAGTAGAAGCAACATATGTAATAAAATGTAGAGATGGAGACATATACTTAATGCTGTATTTTAAATTTGGACTTCCTTGACACTATTTCTAGAAATGTTAGGCCCTGCAGCTATTTCATTAATTTTTTTTTCTAATAAGTTTGAGATGACTGTGACTGTGGACGTAATACTGAAAATATAAACTCCACAAAGTATGACCTGATTCTATCCATTTAATCTTTCCCAAAGCTATTACAAATGATTTATTGATAGGTTCTAAATGTAAGTAAAAAATGGAAGATATGTTTCAATCCCATAAGAATGAGATAATATGTATGACAAACCATATAAATATCAATAATAGCAATATATTTTTATTACATCACATATGCATTTTAAATAGGTAACTTGTACACATTAAGGGACATAATAAATGTTTTTAGAATATGATAGAAGAGGCAGTGGAAAACATACTTTTCTATTTAAGGCAATGACTATATTTTGGGAGTACTGGGCTTAGAAAACAGACATTTTATACTTCATTTTTCTTATGCATTTACATAATTGCCAAATTTCATATCTATCCTAATATTACATTATTCCCTGCATAGACCTATGCTACTGGTCAAGAATTCTGTTTGAATAGTTTCAAACAGAAAGGAACTATAATGCTAATATAAAAGTATCAAATTCATTATGTTTTAACTTCAGTTCTGAAAATGTGTATAATCTATAGTTAGTGAAAGAAACAAAATCTTGGATTAAGGAATACATTTTTCTAGACAAGCTCTTAGATAATGCTACTCAAAGTGCCTGTCTGCTGTATGAAGAATACCTTGGGCCAAGTTGAAAATCAAAACATACTGCTTCCTTCATTGACAATTTCTTGCTCCATAAAAACAATTTCAGCAAACTGAGTAATGTACCTGGGGTCATAATTAATCTACATTTGGTATAAGTGCTTTATCTTTTTGTGGATCAAAAGCAAAGGGTTCATGCAATGGTAGCTAGTCCATGGATCCCATCTGAGCTGCAGTGGTCTACGGAAAACTAGGAATGGATTGATTATCTTCAGAATGACCTACTGAATAACTAGTCTTATTAGTCAGAGAATTATTCTAGAGCTGCCTTACACAGCATTGTTTTGAGAGAGAAAAGAGGCCAATTTTAAGTGTATGATATGATAGATTGCATTATTGTTCGAGTTCTTCATCTTTCTATAGTTTCCACATTCTTTGTCATGTGACTTTGTAGTACTCCCTCTAATGTCAACCACTTTATTTTCCTGCCCCATTGATACTGAGGCTGGGAATGTGAATTGACTGAGACAACAGAATGCAGGCAGAAAGAAGTGTTGGGTACTAATTGTGATTCTAAGCCTTAGGAGTCATCCACTGTTTCTACTAGACCCGCTTATGCTTCTGCTGCTGCCATGAGAAGCACATGTATTGGGTAGCTTGTTATGCCAAAGATAAAAAACAAATAGAGCAGATCGATATCCAACCTGACTCTGGGAGCCAGCACCATCCAATCCTAGTGTAGGCCTGTCAAACTCGACTTGATCTCAAACACAAGAGAGAATAAATGATTTCTGTTTTAAGCCACTGAGTTTTGGGATGGTGGTTATACAGCTTATTATGCTGATAGCTAACCAATTCACATTAGAACAGCACCTTCCAAAGCTTGGGTGGAAGAGGGCTGCTGAGATGGATAGCATTGGTGGGGGAATACTAACACCTTGGGTACAGGCATAGAGGAAGGAGTATTAATGGCCAAGTTTATGAGTAGCACATTCAGGCAGGTGGTAAAAACCCATTAATTTCACAAGTACTAAGAATCCCATCAGGACTCTGATACAAGGAAACAACCATTCTTCCTTATTTTCTACCCCAGTTAATGTAGCAAAGGACAAAAAGAGAACATAAGCACAAAGACCAGTACTTCGTTAATGAAAGAAGAATGTTTCAAACTGGAATAGAGTAGAAATTTTAATTATTCACGAAAGAGTAGGGATTTTAACCTAATAATAGAATGCCAGCAGGCTAAAATATATTGGGATCTACTCTTCAGTTTGCTTTCTTAAAATAGTTATGATAAAGTAAAAGTAGAGTTTGTATTTCACACTGTGGACTCAATTGATCTACAATCCTTCGTGTTCTTCCTTCAAGTTCTAACATAATGCATTCCACTGGGATACTGTTCAAGATTAATAGTTGGACTCAACAGCCTTAAAGAGACAACTGCATTAATTTACGTAGACTCTGTGCATTGACTGGACAAATAGGACTTCTTATAGGATAATGCTTTTGTAATTATTGTTTGGAAGTATGACATTACAGTAACATATAAAACCTGCAGCACAAATAAAGAATAGATTTTACCCCCCTCCAATTTCCTAAGGTCAATTTCCAAAATACCTGACTGCAACCTATAGGGGAAAGGAAAAAAACTGACCTTACAATTTACAAAAATAAAAGTGATACAGTATTTTGTCTCAGTTTGTTTTTACTATGCTAAGCCAAAATTTAGTATATATATTTGAACCTTAACAAATATTTAGAAAATATTATATATGTATATCTCAATATATATACACACACTATAAACATATAATGTGTGTGTACATATATATGTGTATATTCATACAAAATTTAGTGTGTGTGTGTACATAGATATATATGTATATACACACACATAGACACACACACTCTAAGTTTATAGGCTATTTTTGCTGGTAAAGTTTCCTGAACACTATGTAGGTAGTAACTATAAAAAATATAAAATTTGTTTTTTTTCCTGAAAGGTTTATTGTTTGCACTTCTAGATAGTGAAAAATGAAAACTATGGAAACAATGACTGCCCAAGGAACAAAACATATACACAAACCTTTGATTTAGTAACCATAGCCAAACTCTGTGGTAGCTCACTTAATAAAGTGGTTACAGTCATTTTGGGGGGCTCCCCAGGGTGAAATGTTCCACTTTTTATAGCTTTGTATATAATTAAAAATCTGCTATAACTATGACCTTGAGTATCTCCTCAAAAAACATATAATTAAATAACCAGAATATCTAATAAATAACAGCTGCAAGGTAAGCAACAGAAAACGCCGTCTGAACAGTATTTTACTTACATCTTTCTGAACTACAAACTTCTTTGCTCTAATGCATTTCTAATAGAATGTCAGCCATCCTGGCTTTACAGGAGCTCTTGATATCACAAGCTTTAATGGCCCTTTTGCAATTAAGGTGAGGTATCTGCCATTTCACTCAATCCACCAAAGACAGGTTTATATAATCATTCCAGAAATGTTCCTTCCTACTGGGTAAGATTTAAGAAGTGCTGATTTTGAGTAGAAGAGAAAAAAAAAGATGTTTATTATTTATATCCATGGTTCTGGCTTTAGTATATAAAAGCGCACTATCGATCCATTCTTAGTAAATTGTACAATTTTTCATACTGTCCAGTGTTACTATCATGTAAACACAATCTACTGTTAAGAAATGTCACATAACTTTTTCATGAAACACATTATGTAGCCATAGAATAAAGATTAAGTAAACATGATCTGGAGATTTGCTCAGCATTTTTCTTCCAATGATGAACTATTATAGCTACCAACTATCAGATGGAATTTTACAGGTTGGCAAGAAGTCTATCACAGCTTATGCATTTACTGAAGAACTTCTTCTAGGACCAATTTCCCTGTTATACCTAAAAGTCTAATTCAGAGCAAAATGACCACAACATGTACTTGTATCATTCATTAGCCATATTTTAATATGCAAACATTGCTAATATAAGAAAAAAAGGTGGACAAACTTGGAACATACTGACTTGCATTAATATGATGCCAAGCATTTCCCCAACAGCTTTTCTTTAGGCAGCCTCTTATAAACTTAAACATATGCCATACATGTAACATTAACGAAAGCTCTCAGGAAAAAATGTCACATGACTGAAGAGGTGCTTTCCTTTGGGACTCTGGTAAATGAAAAGGTCTCATAAAATGTATAACTTGGCATTGAGTATCGAAAATAAGTTTTTATCTCGGGTTATAAATTAAGATAAAATAGGTAAATCAAAAGGATTAATATCTCCAAGTATAGGCTTTAAGGATACATTTGAATATGAAGGTACCATGCAAAAAAAAAGAGATCAGCTTTATTCATCAGTAATCATGCTGCTGTAGACATTCCACATGTAAAATAAATGGTCAGAGTACATGAATTTTCTTCAAGGAACCACAGTGAGTTGACTGAACTGCATATAAATAACTGATACTTAAGCTGGTGTATCTCTAATGTTTGCTAATACAATCACATAACACATAATGTTTCCCTCAATGACAAATTGTATGTAAGACAGTAGTCCCATAAGATCATAACATTGTATTTTTACTGTACTTAGGTTTAGATACACAATACAATTGTGTTTCAGTTACCTACAGTATTCAGTACAGTAACACGTTGTACAGGTTTGAAGCCTAGAAGCCAAGGGCTATACCATACAGCGTTGTAGGTTATGTAGGTTTGGCTAAGTCCACTCTATGATGTTCACACAATGATGAAATCACCTAAAGATGCATTTCTCAAAAGTATCCCTGTCATTAAGTGGTGCATGACTGTACTGTCAAAGCAATGAGATAGATACATAGGTCTCTGTCAAAAATGTGCATACAAATGACCTATTTGCACATGTAAGTGTCAAATCTGTATAATCTCTATTGAAGAATGGATCTCAAGAAGTTGTGGGAAGAATATGAAGCATGTCCTCCCAAGCTATATTGCTCAATTTAACTGAATATCATAAGTGATTGATACTTTAGAATAACCCCCAACTCAATGCTATGTGTATTTTTCAGGAGTCAACAGGATACCAACATTGAGATCCTTCTCTTAAATGTAAAGAAACTTTTGCACAGAACTAAAAGTGTCAAAGTGGAGACTCAAACCTTGGCACATCCAAAGCCCATGCCCTTAGGGCTTATGCCAAGCTGTCAGCCTATTACATTTTATTACATATTGTAATTACCAACTGCATAAAAGTTTGAGATCTATTGACAGGCACTTTGAAATCTGAATCAGCCAATTTAGAGCAACAGTTGAGAACACTGTTATAGGACATGCAGAATTAATAAAAGCTACACACCAAAATGGAACCTTGACCCAGGCATCAAGATTTTGACCAGATGGTATGGGGTGCAAATCCACTGTGTCTAGCTTTCCGTCAAATCTACATGAATTGTTTGACACTCTAGAAAAAATTACTTGAGAAAAACAAACACAACACAATGGATACAATGGATAAAATATAAAACCCTCCCACGCCTGCCAAATACAGTTCTGGTTTGTTTCTCCCCAGAAGGTGACATTGAGACAAGGATGTAGATACAGGCAGTCTTTATTTGAGAGGTCATCCCAGGAAGTACATGTGAGAAAGTGGATAAACTGAGACCAGAATAAGACCCCAGAGTTTCCCCTAGGGGTATGAAAGCCTCAGCATTTCCTCACTGAGGTGGCCTAAGCAAATCTCCCAAGGGCAGAGAAACTAAGACCCAAGGGCACTGGAAAGCGGAAGGTGTCAGCATTTGTAGGAACACAAACATGAGCACAGGGAGATGAGGCAGGGCAGCAACAGTGTCTGCTTCAAAAGAACAAGCATCACAGAACCACAGTGCTGTTTGCTCACTCACCTGCCTGTCTAAAGAACTGATGAGCTTCCAGCCTCTAGGAAGCAAAGGTAGCATCTTTCTAAACCTGCTGTCCTTATTTTGACCTTTTCTCTTGTGCACCCACATATCTGTTAGGCACCACATGGGCTCTCTACAAAGGCCCTCAGATGGTCTTTGTGTTTCTGCACTCTGTACTGGGACAGGAAGGGTGGAAGCTAGGGTAGGAAGGGCTGTGTTCCTGCCGCTCCTGCCATTGCTGCTGTTGATCCCAACTCTGCAGCCATGGCTGTAACACTATCTTCTCCTGACCTCCACCTGATGAATACTGTATCAGGAGAGGCTAGTCTCTGCCCATGAAAGTGCCCATATGTGTGTTTTCTCTTCATTCTTCTCAGACTATGCTTTCCTTGCCTTCCTATTTTGATCCTAATCCATGCCTTCTGGAAAGAAAGCCTGACCCTTGGCCATTCACTCAAAGCAACAGGGAATTAATTGTCTACTAATAGTTTCAGAAGTGAGGTTTTTGCACCTTAAGATCTATTGGTGAGTAGAAGAAAATACTGGACATTTAATTTGTATATTTATCAACTAACCCATTTATAATTTCCATCCATTTTATATCTTATGTTATACAATATGACATATAGTTTATAAATATACAAATATTGAGTGTGACCAAAAAACATTTTTTAAACCATGATGCACACCACTAAAAAAGTTTGAAGCACCTGCTTTGAGATAATTCACCTGTTATCCCATGACACAGATCAATGACCTCTGTCAAAATCCCATTTTAAAAAATTCCAGTTTTTAAAGGAACATTTGGATGCCTGCTATCATTTGTCTAGAGCAGTCCCCTAGGTTTGAAAACCTTATGGCCTCATGGTTACAATGTCCAGTCCAAATGACTCTGGGCATTCACTGTGAAATGTTTGATCTCCTTAACTCTGTAATTTGTTTTGGGGATTTGGTTTTTTAAAAAAACCTTTGAAGGAAGTGTCCTGTGGACTGAGACTCTTTCATTGTTCCATCCAACAAATAAACTTACCCAACAGTAATTCCAAATACTAACTTATTGGAAAGACCATACTTATATTCTTGATGTCAAGTTCAACAGTTTTGTTGCACACAAGGTAAGCCATATTAACCTGACTTAATATGCTACACTTTTTCACTATTAATTAGATGAACAGATTGTCTTTTCATTGTGTTGTGTCTGCTTAACAATTCTATAAGCACCTTATGAACAAAGACCTTGTCATCTACTTTCTTTAACCTCCAAGAACACTTTGCAGACTGCTATGGTTAAAAATGACATTCAAGAACATGATACAATCATATGCAATGAAAGGATGTATTTATTCAACCTTTGAAAGTTACTCCCTGGTGTTGAAACAGATTTGGTGATCAAGATTGTTATGAACATTCTGCGGCATCCTGGAATGAATGCAAGGTTGAAGGCAGCTGTGACAGTTCTGACAGCACCTGGTTCTAGTCAATAAGGAGTTAAAAATTAATCTACATGTGTTATTTAGCATTTATAAATTCCATCCTCTTGTCTGACTTTTCCAGGTTATTAATTATTGTTTTCACTCCTACGAGGAAAAAATGACATACTTTGGTAGAGTGCTTTTCTATTTACAAGACAAATTCAAATTATCCGTTAAGTCCACACCAAAATCCTATGGAAAAGAGATTATTGTCATCATCCCCATTTTACATAAGAGGATAATGAGGCTCGGATAAATTAATGCTTTGTCCAAGGACATTCAGATAAAAAGTGACAAATCCAGGGCACTTAAGCTCTACTTTTGTTACTTCAAAGCCACAACAGGCTTTCTACGTCACTGACCTGCATCTTATCCAGTTCTTGTGTGTGTTTATGTGACTATTTTTCCAGAACTGCAGATATAGAATACTGTCCTTTTATAAAAAAATAGAATAACATACATTGATTAAATTTTGATAGTTTTTTGCAGATGCCTGTATTTTGTTGACTCTTTTTGGTCACAAGGGCAGATTGAATTGATATTTTCAAAGAACAGATCTCCTGGCCTTCTTGGTAAGAAGTTATAGCTTAGAGCCTATTAGATTAAAAAGCATAGGCCGGGCGCGGTGGCTCACGCTTGTAATCTCAGCACTTTGGGAGAACGAGGCAGGAGGATCAAGAGGTCAGGAGATCGAGACCATCCTGGCTAACACAGTGAAACTCCGTCTCTACTAAAAATACAAAAAATTAGCCGGGCATGGTGACAGGCGCCTGTAGTCCCAGCTACTCTGGAGACTGAGGCAGGAGAATGGCGTGAACCTGGGAGGCGGAGCTTGTAGTGAGCCGAGACCGTACCACTGCACTCCAGCCTGGGCAACAGAGCGAGACTCCGTCAAAGAAAAAAAAAAAAAAAAAAAGCATAGCATGGATTCCTTTTTCTTAGGAAGGCAACTTGTATTTAGGATAATCCTAGTTATTTTAGTTTAAAAAATCCAATATCATAAAGGGGTGATCTTACCTAACACTAATACAGAGAAGGTACAGACCTGAGGCTAACTGCTAGATAAATTTGCTATATCCATCCCTACGAACACAAATTATGGCTCTTAGTTGAATTTGTCCTCTTTTCTGTTTTTGTTTTTGCTTTTTTTTTTTTCAGGCTGGCTTGCTGCATATTGAGGAGCTGATGATCCTGTTTGCTTTAAATTTTCTATGAAGAAATGGTCTCAGAGCCCAATTTTAATATCAGAAACGTCAACTACAGTGGGGCTTCATTTTTTTATGTCAGTTGAATGCCAGTATATTTCATTTGTGTAAACAGTAATTTACAAGTTATCCTTGGAACACTGGGTTTCTTGTCTCTTAACCACTGGCATGAAGGGGCCACCACAACCCTGCATTCTAGATAAAAAAACACTGCAGTAAGAACATGAAATAAAACCAAGTCTTTGTTCACAGTTAATAGTGTTTTAAGTTGTTTTGAAGTAAAAAAAAAATGCAGAAAAATAAAAGACAAAAACAGTTTTTTTAGAGTTGCCTGAGAGATTTCAGTTCTATTTCATTTAAAGTTTGTAAAGGAAAAAAAAATCAATGATACTATCTTCTTTCTCTTCAGCATCATAAATTGGTTCCCTGATTTTGAAAGTTAGAGTACGTAGTTACTCTGATTAGTTCCTGTCCTCTGGAGGCCTCCAACGACTTCTGTGAATAAGCAGCACTGAAATATTTTATCAATACATAAGTAAACAAGAGCATATCAGCAGTTAAGCACATTTTATGAGCTGAGTGAGATAGAATATTCATAAGTGTAATGGAACAGAGCATGAGCATGGGAGTGCCACATCTTTCAGAATAGAGAGACAACCTGCAGAGACATTAATGTTCCCAAACCATTTAAAAAATAAAATAGAATATGCTATGGACTAGATACCATTGGGATGGTGTAAGAAGGAATTCTTCTATACAGGCTGCTAAATTTAATTTTTCTGAGAAAAATAGGTGAGTTGATTTATCTTTTATTTGTTATTTTTAAAAGTGAAGCTTTTGTTGATCAGTCTTTGTTTTTCATTTTCATGGCTGGAATACAATTAAATTCTATAGACAGATGGGCTTTAGCCATGCTAATTACTATGGTAATCAATTAACTCAGCTGCTGTTTAGAATAGAGAAAGCTACATAAACAACAATCTGAAGTTTTGTCTTTTATAAGACAGTTGTGGAAACATTACCTATCATGTACATAATTCATAAAATATCTAAATGACCATGTTGTTATGGTACATTTTTTAAAATTTCTTTGGAATCTCTCAATATACTCTGTCCTATTTGGAAGCTAACAAATTTCATTCTACAAAGACTGACCCAAAATGTCACCATAAATGAAGTGATGTGCCATATAAATACCTGTTGAGGTGTCTTGGCCAGTGGCTAGATCTTTCCTGTTTGGGTGGACTGCATGCTATTACTCTGTACACTAAGGTTAAGAGTCTCATGTCACAGAGGTGAGTGTATGTGGATAACATGAAAAGTGGTCATTTTGAGAATTTTTATTGTATGATAGATAAGTGTTTAGTACCATCAACAAATTCATAAACTATGATATCCACTAATTACAGGCCGAACATCCCTAAACCATAAATCTGACGTCCAAAAAGCTCAAAAATCTTAAACGTTTTGAGCTCCAACATGATGACACAAGTGGAAAATTCCACACCTGACCTCACGAGACGGGTCTTAGTCAAAATGTAAGTTAAAACTTTGTTTTATGCACAAAATTATCGTATAAAATTACCTTCAGTCTATGTGAATAAGGTGCATTTGTAACATACATACATTTCGTGTTTATACTTAGGTCCCATTTTAAAGACATCTCATTATGTATAAGCGAATATTCCAAAACTTCAAAAAACTCTGAAATTTCAAACATTTCTGGTCTCATGCATTTCAGATAAGGGAAACTCAACCTGTATATACATTCACATTAAACCACCCATAAATAATTTTGGAGATCCCTGACGCAGACAACATCCACCTAGTTTCCAATAAAATATCTTAATAGGCTGGAGAATAATAAAGGCCAGGCTGAAGGGCAATGAAATGCCAAAGTCTTGAAGAAATCTTCACGAACTCTAAAGCAGATGAAGGTGAATTGAGAAGAAGGCCACTCAGATTTCAACTCAGGGCACTGCACAGGCTTGTCCTCATGAAATAAAGACTACCTCTTCACTACCAAAAAGAAACACAGCATTCGTTATTTTTTGTCAGTGTGAAGAAATGTTAGGATGGGACAACCACTTTTTGAGAAGCTCAGACTACTATTCCTTTCCTATACCAATCCTACCATCTTAATGCATCCATTTGGTTATAGATCCACCAGGAAAAAATATGAACAGAAAAATGTACATTCATGTGAAGAGAAAGAGGTCAAGCAAGTGGTATGATACATCAAGGAAAGGATAGCTCTTTGGAACCCAGACAGGTACACTATAATCATGGTTAAATTTACCAAATCATTCTTCCAGGCCCACTTCAGTGACACTTCCTCTAGTGAGTATTCTGGACAGTCCCATTCACTCCCTGCACCCCACCTTATCCCAAACAAATAACCTCTACCTCCTCCTCTAAGCAACCACAACATTTTATTTACACATTTCTCATAACTCATTAATTTATATTACATCTTATATGAAAATTAACTCATGATGGATTAAAGCCTTAAATGTAATACGCAAAACGATCAAAACCCTAGAAGAAAATCTAGGCAATACTATTTGGGACATGGGCATGGACAAATATTTTATGATGAAATCTCCAAAAGCAATTGCAACAAAAGCAAAAATTGGCAAATGGGATCTAATTAAGCTAAAGAGCTTCTGCACAGAAAAATAAACTATCAACAGAGTGAATAGACAACCTATAGAATGGGAGAGAAATTGTGCAGTCTAAACATCTGACAAAGGTCTAATATCCAGGATCTAAAAGGAACTTAAACACCTTTACAAGAAAAAACAAACAACCCCATTAAAAAGTGGGCAAAGGACATGAACAGACACTTCTCAAAAGAAGATATGCATGCGACCAAAAAACATATTTAAAAAAGCTCAAGCATCACTGATCATTAAAGAAATGCAACACAAAACCATAATGAGATACAATCTAATACCAGTCAGAATGGTGATTTTTGAAAAGTCAAGGAAACAACAGATGCTGGTGAGGTTGTTGAGAAATAGGAATGCTTTTACACTGTTGGTGGGACTTTAAATTAGTTCAACCATTGTGGAAGGCAATGTGGCGATTCCTCAAGGATCCAGAACCAGAAATACCATTTGACCCAGAAATCTCATTACTAAGTATATGCCCCAAGAAATGTAAATCATTCTATTATAAAGATATATGCACATGTATGTTCATTGCAGCACTATTCACAATAACAAAGACATGGAGTCAACCCAAATGCCCAACAATGATAGACTGGATAAAGGAAATGTGGTACATATACATCATGAAATACTATGCAGCCATAAAAAAGAATGAGATCATGTCCTTTGCAGGGACATGGATGAATATGGAAGCCATTATCCTCAGCAAACTCATACAGGAACAGAAAGCCAAACGTCTCATGTTCTCATTTATAAGTGGGAGCTGAACAATGAGAACACATGGACACAGGGAGGGAAACAACACTCACTGGGGTCTGTCGGGAGAGGGCAAGGGCAGGGGAGAGCATGAGGAAAAATAGTTAATGCATGCTGGGCTTAATACCTAGGTGATGTGTTGATAGGTGATGCAAACCACCATGGCACATGTTTACCCATGAAACAAACCTGCACATCCTGCACATGTACCCTAGAACTTAAAATAAATTAAAAAGAAATAAACACAGATATATACAACAACAACAACAAAAATAATGAATAAATAAATAAATAAATAACTATCCAAAGAAATACATGTTATTTGCTCATGACTGTTCTGGCACAATTTATTGTATTACTGTAAAGCAAATAAAAGAATTATGAAAACATTAGTTATTTAACCTAAGGGTACAGCTTTTAAAATTCTGCATCTTTTCTAAATTGCACTGAAAATCTCAAGTTATGATTTAACTCTCTTAATAAGTCTTGATTACACGTTAAAGGTAATACAAGCACATACTTAAAGGAAGAAATCCCAATGTAGCAAGCAAATGTATTTATTTAACATAGTTTAATTACTGTATATGTTACATAGTGACATTTATGTAGGTATTCTATTTTTTTTCACTAAAAAGACAATTATTTTGCTTAGTACAGCAAGAGATAGTAGTTTAAACATCAACTGACTATCATAACTGAAACCATCAGTTATGTGGATTTTTTTCTTTTTTTTTTTTGCTACATTTTTAGAAAGAGGCAAATTACAAAAGGTATTGTGGATTTATTAAAAAAATAACTTTGGGGTTATTTACTTGGTTAGTATGAAATCAGTACCATCTCTTCTGTTTTCTGGGCATTTAGGCCATACAATTAGAATTGATTTCTGAGTGATAGCCTGGAGACTCTGCAGGAATCTCACTTATCAAAAAAAATTTAATTATATTCTTATATTGTACTTACTAAGGGAGAAAAGTAAGGGAGTATACTTCACAAAGAATTCCTCAAGAAAAGTTTTGATAACCTCAGTTACTTAGATTTACATACCTCAATAATTCAGATAACCCATTTCTCAACAGACTACATGATAGGGATTTACGGTATAACAACAGTTTATGTTTAGGGGTGTGTGTGTGTGTGTGTGTGTGTGTAATATATTTTATATATATATATATTTCCAATTACCTCCAAGTTCATTATACAGTCAGAAGAGGTTTTCATTTAAAATTCTGAGTTGGGACAATTATACATATGGTATTTGAATCACAAATCATGCTGGGTAAAATGAAAGAATCAAATGATGTATACACAGAAGTACTAAACACAGGAGGCTGTGTTTACCTTTACAGATTCCAGGCTGTTTTGCAACAGATATAAGGGGTGGATGGGTGGCTGGACTATGGAATCCAAGGGATCCCTGCCAACCCTGACATCCTGTGACCAATGAAATGATGACAGCTCATTGGCCAGACCTTGAGGCTTTTTGCTTTCCAGTGTCTGTTCTCAGTAAAAGGTAAAATGCTGAAAAACAAATAAATGTAAAGTGCCACCCAAAGTAAAAAAATTACAGTGAGATAATAAAACACATCACATAGAATTTAAATATGTTCAGTATGAAGGCAATGGTATAGAAAAAAAGATGTTAGTTTCTTTTCATGTGAACTCACAATTTTTGCTTTATGAAAAACAAAAGGAAGCTTATTCTACAAAAATAATTTCATTTGCTATTAAAAAAAACAAAAGCCCCAGTATAATCCTCCTCGCTATGGTTTTAAGAACAAATTGTACAAAGCTATTTGGGGAAAAAAGATAAAGGAAAACTGAATTAAAGTCTTACTGGTTTCTCAATCTGTTCTTTAGCAGAGTAGTTTGCATGTGACATCTCACATGATAATTGTTTCCAAACTCAGGGGAAAGCACTAGTAATCTCTGATAAACTTGTCAGGGTGCAAAGAACCATAACATAATATTATTGAGTCAAAGGGTCATTCATTCATCTGTAAAAATGGTGAAAATTACAATGCTAGATTTTTTTTCTTAAAATTAAAAAATAATCCTTATATGATGAAACACTGTCTTTCCAGTTGAAAGCTCTAAGTCAGGTCATCTTCCTTCTCACCTTTGTGTCTCCACTCTGGCGCACCCTGCATGGCTGACTCCTTGTCATCTTTCTAAACCCAGTTCTTTCAGGATGTCTTCTCTCCCCAACATCCCTCACCATCTTCTTCATCTCTTCTTCAGATATTATTAATTTCTCCTGAATACCACTACTGTGGTATTTTTTACCCTTCAATTTGTGTGTGTGCATGTGCTCTAATTTAGACTGTGAGCTCCTTTAAGAATACAGCCTATATTTAACATTATTCACGTCTGTTTCCCTAGAACTTAGCACATGCTTCACATACACTGGGCGTTCAGTCAACATTTCTAATATAAGCAAATATGAGTATAGAAACATTATGATAATTAGAGCAGTGAGCGAGACATAGTCTTCCATCTGAGACAAATACATGAGAAACAGGAGCCAAAAAATAATTATTTAGGCTGATGTGACTTCCTTCTCTCCATAATGGAATAATGGTGTAACAGTGCAGGCCTTCTAACAACCCTTCAAAGAAGGGGGTGAAACTAGGCAGAGGATATCGACTATCTTGGTTCATAAGTAGGTACACCTGGGAGTACCAAGCCAGGGAAACATGAGCTCTGCACAGTGCAAAACACTTTTTTTTTTTTTTTGAGATGGAGTCTCGCTCTGTCACCCAGGCTGGAGTGCACTGGCGCAATCTCGGCTTACTGCAAGCTCCACCTCCAAGGTTCATGCCATTCTCCTGCCTCAGCCTCCCGAGTAGCTGGGACTACAGGCGCCCACCACAACGCCTGGCTAATTTTTTGTATTTTTAGTAGAGACAGGGTTTCACCATGTTAGCCAGGATGGTCTCGATCTCCTGACCTCTTGATCCGCCCACCCTGGCCTCCCAAACTGCTGGGATTACAGGCATGAGCCACCGCGCCAGGCAGCAAAACACTTTATTAAACATAGAGAAAAATAACTGGCATGCAAGGATTTCTACCCAATCATCATTTGCCTTGAAGGACTTTTCACCATGACAGCCTTGTATGTGTGTGTGTGTAAGTGGGGGTGGGGGAGAGTAGGGAGAAGGTGGCTGTGCCCAAATGTCAGAGAGAGGCATATTGGCCTCTAGGGTGGCATCCTTAATGAATTTTCCTACAGAACTGATGTCAAATGGGTCACCTCAAAGGTTCATCTCACTCATTCATTCATTCCCCTTCAAGGCAATGGCCCATCTACCCTATATCCCATTTTAGAGACCCTCTGTGTTATCCACACATTCCACTTTTTTACACTCCCCACCTCCAAGGGGTATGCACACTCTGTCCATTTTACTCAAGAAACATGTTTATTCTCTACTGCTTTGGCTTTGGGCCTCCTGACTTTCCACACTCTAGCAACAGCTCCCTCTTTGAACCACTGGAAAAGCCTCCTGACTGGCCCTCCTGCCACATTATGTCCTCCATGTGTTGCAAGAAGCCTCTTCCTTAAGTCAATTTAAAAAAAAAAATCACAAACACCTGCTTCAAATCTTTTCCCTTTCCTTTCCTTCCTTACTTCTTTTTCTTTTTTTTTTTTTTTTTTTTTGGAGGAGGAATTCTTGCTAATTGATAATATTTAATATTTAAACTCCGTAGATTCACATATGACTTCATCAATTGGCTCAACTAATTTTTTTCCAGCTTCATATCCTGGTATTCAAAGTCATGTACAATTTTTTTATTGCACAAAATGTCTCATCTTTCTCTAGAAATAACAGCCCTTGCCATAAATTCCTGCTTTTGTAACATGAAACTGCTTTCCTTTGGAGTGAGACCACTTTGCACCTGGAAGATGCTCATCCTTCAACATCCAGCTTGTCTCCTCCTTAGGAAAATATCCTCTGTTCTGTTGGTGATACTAAAGGCAGTACCCTGAACATGTCTTTGTAAAAGATTTTGCCTTTAGTATTGTGATTACCCATTCACCTGTCTATCCCTTTCCAGAAATGTGAGCTCCTCAAGGGCAGGCTCCAAATCTGACTTTCCTACTATGCACATAGAATGGTACTTGCCATGTAAGAAACAAATCCTTACTGTTTGGGGAAAAAACAAAAGTACAAAGAATACAACTCTAAAATGAACAAAACAAATGATAATATGCTGTTTAGAAAGTGTTGAAAAACTAGGCATGGTGGCTCACACCTGTAATTCCAGCACTTTGGGAGGCCGAAGTGTGGGGGATTGCTTGAGCCCAGGAGTTGGAGGCCAGCCCGGACAACACAGTGAGACCCCAAATCTATTAAAAAAAAATACAACAATTAGCCGGGCATGGTAGACTGTGCCTGTAGTTCCAGCTTTTCAGGAGGCTGAGAGAGGAGGACTGCTTGAGCCTACGAGGTCGAGGCTACAGTGAGCTGTGATTATGCCACTGTACTCCAGCCTGGGTGACAGGATAAGATCCTGTCTCAAAAAAAAATGTGTTGAAATCATTTCTTTCATATCATGTGTTAAATAGGCTTTGAAGGGCTGGCCTTGAAACCTGACAGCTTTGAGCCATCGTGTATCCATGGGAGTAGGCATTCTAGGTTCCAAACAGCACACTTAGAAATGGACTTTGGAACACAACGTGCTACCTCAAGGCTCCACCTGGCCACACAGCAGGCACTGAGGCTGGGAGACAGCCCCCAGACAGATGAGTGTCCGCGCCTCTCTGAGAGGTGAATGAGCCCGGACGGTCCCTACCTACCAAGTCCTGAGGAGCAGCGGCACCAACGACGCAGGCCCGCCCCAGCCCGCCAGTGAGCCGCCCATGCCCTCTGCTAGCCCGGCCCGCCCGGGCCCCCGCCATGCTGATCACCGTGTACTGCGTGCGGAGGGACCTCTCCGAGGTCACCTTCTCTCTCCAGGTCAGCCCCGACTTTGAGCTCCGAAACTTCAAGGTCCTCTGCGAAGCGGAGTCCAGAGTCCCCGTCGAAGAGATCCAGATCATCCACATGGAGCGACTCCTCATCGAGGACCACTGTTCCCTGGGCTCCTACGGCCTCAAAGATGGCGATATCGTGGTTTTACTGCAGAAGGACAATGTGGGACCTCGGGCTCCAGGGCGTGCCCCGAACCAGCCTCGTGTAGACTTCAGTGGCATTGCGGTGCCTGGGACGTCCAGCTCCCGTCCACAGCACCCTGGACAGCAGCAGCAGCGCACACCCGCTGCCCAGCGGTCACAGGGCTTGGCGTCAGGAGAGAAGGTGGCCGGCCTGCAAGGTCTGGGCAGCCCCGCCCTGATCCGCAGCATGCTGCTCTCCAACCCCCACGATCTGTCCCTGCTCAAGGAACGCAACCCTCCCTTGGCGGAAGCCCTGCTCAGCGGAAGCCTTGAGACCTTTTCTCAGGTGCTGATGGAGCAGCAAAGGGAAAAGGCCTTGAGAGAGCAAGAGAGGCTTCGTCTCTACACAGCCGACCCACTGGATCGGGAAGCTCAGGCCAAAATAGAAGAGGAAATCCGGCAGCAAAACATTGAAGAAAACATGAATATAGCGATAGAAGAGGCCCCCGAGAGTTTTGGACAAGTGACGATGCTCTACATTAACTGCAAAGTGAATGGGCATCCTTTGAAGGCTTTTGTTGACTCGGGCGCCCAGATGACCATTATGAGCCAGGCTTGTGCCGAGCGATGTAACATCATGAGGCTGGTGGACCGACGGTGGGCTGGGGTTGCTAAAGGAGTGGGCACACAGAGAATTATTGGCCGTGTTCATCTAGCTCAGATTCAAATTGAAGGTGATTTCTTACAGTGCTCTTTCTCCATACTTGAGGATCAACCCATGGATATGCTTCTAGGCCTAGATATGCTCCGGAGACATCAATGTTCCATCGATTTGAAGAAAAATGTGCTGGTCATCGGCACCACTGGCACGCAGACTTATTTTCTTCCTGAGGGAGAGTTGCCCTTATGCTCTAGGATGGTAAGTGGGCAAGATGAGTCTTCGGACAAGGAAATTACACATTCAGTCATGGATTCAGGACGAAAAGAGCATTAAAGCACGTTATAAATATGTTACCACCTTGAGGGAGCCTCAGGTCCCCGGCAATTATAAGTTAAGAGCTTACTGGCAATGTAATCATTAAAAAACATCAGTAACAACTAAACCTGGCCTTGGGACTACGTTCTCAGATGGGTAACTAACGTCAATCCTGATTCCTTGGTCTTGGTCCCTCTTCCATTTCCCTTGTCCAGAGATCACTGAAAGGCATCCTGGGAAGGCTCTGGAGGCTCCAGCTGATTTCCAGATAATCCATGAAAAAGAAAACCAGCTTCTTCCTTTAGAGACACTATCCTATCAGATTACAGGTGGCTTATCCAAATCATTGCTATTTTGCAGAATTCCCTGGAAAAATGCTATGGCTGCAGACCTTACAAGGCATCCACATAAAACTATTTCACATCAGCACTAATAATTCTTTCTACTGAGAGAAATATGCCCATTTTCACAGGTTTTGTTTTCTTTGGGAAGGGTATTAGAAATGGTAGGTCAGTTACACTATGATGTTAACTAATACTTATACATGTCTGTTTGGGGCAGCATAAAGACCAATTTCCTCATATTTACACCTTCCCTTCCCCTGGATCCCCTGCAGTCACCCTGCAATCCACAGCTAAAGACTATTTTTGCCATATTTGAGAAAGTGGATTTATCTCCAAGGATGCTACATTAATTTTCTATTTCTCCTGCATTCAAAGAAACTCTGGCTATAAAACAAAGGCAATAAATTAGATTTTTTAAAAAAGAAATTATGGTACTTCTTGGGAGTCAAGTTGTACAGTGGTGGGAATGAGAGGTGGGGACAGGCAGTGGTCCAGGTTCTCTAATAGTCATTGCAACTAGATCATCTCTCTCTCTTTTTCAAAGTAAAAATCTGCTTTATACATTAAGCTGCTGCTACATCAGTATTGTTTGAACAAAGGTTTTCACTGTTAAAATAACATTTGAAAACTTTTGAATGAGAAGATCTCTAAGGCCTCATTCAGAATTATCCATTCTGACAATGTTAGTGTTTATTACAACTGACAGTGGGTAATGGAAGATCCTAGACTTAATTACAACCCATGGCTAAAGCACCTGAGAGAAAAGTTTCAGCTTCCTGAGGCCATCAGATGCAGGGGAAATGTTTCAGGACAATAATTTATCAAAACTAGTATTAAAACAGCGGATTCAAAATCAAGATGTGTATGTTTTGATTACACTTAATTACTTAGACAAATTAGTTCACCTACTTTACAACTGAGATTCCTCACCTAATAATTTTTTTTTTCCTGGGAGGGGTCACTTTTCAAGCACTAAAACCTCATTATCTTAAAGGATCTGGGATATCCTTTAAGTTATTCTATTTTCCCGACAAGATATAAAGCCACATAAAGCATTCCCAAAGGATACAGAAAAAAATAACTCTCCCTTATAATCTCCATATACTTTTTGTTTTGCTTCTTGGTAATACTAATCAACCTTTCTAAAGAGAGTCACCTCTTCCTTTCTAGCCACCATCAGTTCACCTCCCATTTTTCTTCTCTATAGGTGTTCCCATGCTCACATTTCCCAGTCTGGTCTACATTTGCACAAAGTTTTATACCCAGTAGAACTACTAAAAATGATCAAATGAACAGATTTCTTTCCTACTTTTGTTTGTAATTAAGAACTCAAAACAAATGCAATTAACAAAAAAAGACATTCAGAGTAAAGTCAGGGATAAGCAAAATGCTTATGAATAAATTTAAATTGCCCTGATAAATTCATGGATTATCTCACTGACAAAAATATGCAAAGTCCTCAGCATCTTCTGAATTCAATTTTAAGGTTCATTTATGAAAAAAAGGTCTTATTTGCATATATCACATGGGACTCCTCAGGGTGTCTGACCCTTTAAAGTTAGCCACAGAATTTTTAAGATAAAAGACAGTTCACATGATACCAAATCTGACCATACCCACCCTACCTTCTCAGAGGAACACCCCTTCTGAGGTAGCTATAATGTTTTGAGACAAATCTCAGGTATAATTATTTGTTTCTTATTTTGAGCTGAAATCTACTGTCCCATAACTTCCAGTAAGTTGGTCTTCATTCTTCCTTCTGCCAAGACCACATTTAATCTTTCTGGCATGAGATAAACTTTTTAATATATGAAATGAGTATCAGCCCACATATTCATTTTTAGACTTCAGTAGGTTTTCACCAGATTCTTTAACTGTTCCTCATAGGACAAATTTGGATTCTCCTAAAAATTTCACGTTTCTTTGGCCATATTCCAAATCCTAAAAACATGATTTGAGTGAATGAATGAATAAATTAAAATCATCTATACTGAATTGAAAAGCAATGACTTCAAAGAAAAATCATTAAACAAAATGAATTAATTAAGCAATGCCTTTATTGATTAACTTTTAAAAATCGTCTTTCAAATTGAAAAGTGTTTGAAAAGTTAGTTTCATTAATGTCTTCATGTAATTCTGTGTATACTTAAAAAGGTCCTAATCAATTAAATTTTAAATGGATTAGTTTTGGTAAAAGGCTACATCTTTTGCTTGTCTTCTACATCAATCAGGCACTATGCAAGGTACTTTGCATATTACTGCCCTTAATCCTCAGGATAAACTTAAAAATAATTATTTTTAAGCCCATTTTGCAGATGGAAAATTTGAGGCTCAGAATTATTAGAAACATTCAAATATTCAAAGTTCAGTGATTTTAAATTTTTTTTGACAACAAACTACATTTTACATTGTGACCCAATTTTACACACTATACACACACAAACACAGATATGTATTTCTATCTCTCTATACATCATTATATAACTGAAACAAAAAGGATTCTTGAAATGAAATAATAGGATATGTTTTATCATTTCTTAGTCTTACTTTTTAAAATTATATTTTATGTATCCCACCAAGATATTCTGAAACACAATTTACAAAACATGGACTGACCAGATTGCTCTATTCAGAGCTTTTTGATTTCAAATGCCAAGTTCCTTTGCAACTTCTTTATCTGACATATTTTAATGCTAGGTCAAAAACTGCAAAATTCTTACAAAATTTTATTATGTGGAAACTACCAAAATTATGCCAGTAGAAATGACAACAGAGTAGGCAGGACTCAGAATATATACAACAATTATTTATTGAATGCACATTAAATAAGCTCCCAGACAGATTTTTATACATAGAGAAATGAGTAGGTTATAGTTTCAGACCTCAAGGTGATTAGTACCTTGTGGGGGTAGAAGACAGACTTGTAACCAACTAAGAGCAAAAGGAATGGACATGAAATTAATAATATGTTGGTACAAAAGAATACATTTTGTAATGGGGATTATTTTTAAAATAAGAAGCAAGCCAGTAAATGTACTTTTAATGTGTCTAAAATGTTCATCACTGATGCTGCAACAAAAATCCTCCTCTTAAATTTCAGGTTACTAATATACAACTTATAAATATCTACTTTTGGAAATTTACTACGTGAAAATGGATAAACAAATTATCATTTTCTGTTTTTTTTTCCTACTAAAAATGAGGATAAAGTAGGCCACATGATGAAATAGACCTTTCCTGTCTCAGGCCATTTAAAAAATCCTTGGCTTCACTTAATGCTCACTTAAATAACCATCTTACCTACAAGAAAATCACTAGTGTGATAGCCATGTATTTCAAGATTACCAGCAACAGATTCTGCTGCAGTTAAACCAGAAGATGGATGTTGTTTGAGATAAGCAGAACATATAATCTTAACCTCTTTCTTAAAATATTGGGTCATAAAAATTTTCTTGTTTCTAGGGGGAAATCTGTTCTGCAAAAAGAAAAAGATAAATCGATGTTTGCAGGTATAAATTCATCTTCACTGCAGGTATTAACTGTTGTAATTTTAGTTAAGAGAACATTGTGCTTCTTTCAGAATGCCAGTTATAAAAGGGCCATTTTCTGACATCCAAGATTCCATAAGCACTTAAGTGATGAGAGTGATCTGGGATTCTCACTAGGAAATTGTATGCAATTATATTAATCAGTGCCAACATTCCTAGTTATTCTTTGAACTTGCAAAAGCCTGGAAAACAAAGAAGAGGAGCAAACATAAAGATGGGTAGAGAAAGAAGGAAAACAAACAAAACAATGCAAGTCTGGGTTGATTTTAACTGATTCTGTCTTAGGTACCGATTTATATGGTGGGAACTGGGCTATGATTATAGACTAGCTACCATTCCACAATTTTTATCACTGGCAAATTATCTAAAAATAAAAATATTTTCAAGGTAAAGCCACAATTAAACTTGCTTTTGAATCCCAGCTTCTTTCCACACCTGGGTCCATCTGTTAGAATCTTTGAATTTCTAAGGATCTGTTATCAGAAAAAAATGGAGCTTGCAGTCTTGCTGTGCTTTCTGTGCCTTCCTCAGAGTGCCCAGTTAACAGGCTGTTGAGATGGGTGTACCTGGAGTGGCTTTGTCTCTTACTACAGCAATGAATGTTTTCTGATTGCTTTTTCTTATTGAGAAAGACTTTTATAAATCCAGTTTTTCTATATTTCAAATAAGTAAGGATCATTTTTAGAGCATCACTATACAAATTACCAGATAATTTCCTCTTATGTTAAAGTCCCTAGGAGGCAATGTGGGCTATGCTTCACGCAGGGGTATTTTTTATGGGTATATTTTTCTACCGTTAATCAATGTATTGATGCCTTGTCCAAATAAAGCAGACAATTACCAAATAAGCATATTCCAGGTAAGCAACTACTTAAATCCATTAAATTCTTACCCTACACCATCAATCACCATTTTGAAACCTTACTTTATCAGGGCTTTACTATAAAGATCCGTTAAGATGCAGAGGAAAATTAATTTAAAATTACATTAATTCACATATTCTGCCTTTCAAACTTCTGTCATGTCTAAGGATTCAATTAGTCTATCAGTCAAAAAGTATTAGTGTTTTGCATTCATACATGTCACTAAAAATTTAATGTATTTTTTCAAAAGTTATGTCATTGGCCAATATCATGCAGAGAGATGAAGAAATTTAAATTATAGCATTAACCTTTAAAGAACTTAAAAGTTCAGTTAGAGGAACTAGAAAAAAAGCAGAGTAAAATATTTAAAAATAATGTTTAACTCAGTACTGAATCACAAAATATAGAATATGGAGTAGAGGGAATGGTTCCTGCTCCCCATTTGAGACACTAAATACAACAAGGAAGGATCTATTCACCAGAATTTTATTGACCACCTGCTGCATGTCAGGACCATTTTAGGTGATGGATTTCTTCACGCAGCCACCAACTTCTGGTGCTAAACTGGTGTTGAGAGCTGCAGCTCCCAGGCATATCTGAGGATTTATCACCGCCTAGAAGATAAGTCTTCCAAAGTCCCTTTCTGATGACTCAGCTTATCAACCTAGAGTAAGCATATGGCCGATTCTTAGGCTAAACTTCAAGGTGAAGCTTGTGGTCTGTTTCTGCCTTGACCCACAGTGGCACTGTGTTCAACTCGCTACTATTAGGGGCTTAATCCTGGAGTACAGTTTGACAATTGTACTAGTTCATATTGTGTGGCTATAAAGGAATACCTGTGGCTGGGTAATTTTTAAAGTAAAGAAGTTTATTTGGCTCATGGTTCTGCTTACTGTACAAGAAGCATGACACCAGCATCTGCTTCTGGTGAGAGCCTCGGGAAGCTTTCACTTATGGTGGAAGACAAAGAGGGAGCAGACATGTCATATGGTGAGAGAGGCAGCAAGAGAGCCATGGGGGAGGTCATAGATTCTTTTTAACAAGCAGATCTTGCATAGGGGACTCAGTACTGCGGGGAGCACACTGAGCCATTCACAAGGCATCTGCCCCCATGACCCAAACACCTCCCACTAGGCCCCATCTCCAACATTGTGAATCACATTTCAACATGAGATTTGGAGAGGAAAAATATCTAAACCTTATCAGCAATTGTAAACAAATACTTCTCTTATAAAGTTAATGAAAAGGATTTGGGGCTTACACAATAGGCGAACAACCAGCGAAATAGTCACAAGGAATTGACTACCAACAATGAGTCGATTGGATGAAGCATTTGTCACATACTTTAATTCCAGGGAATAACAGAACAGGAATTCTCAAAGACAATGAGATACCAACCAGAGAGCAGTTATAGAAATGCTTGGGCATTTATAAAACCGAGAATGGAACCTAAAATTACTACCAAAAATCCAGTAAGTGCTAAGATTTTCTGAAGTAGTCATAATCTTATTAATAATTGTACCTTTAGTCTAACGATCATAAGTTTAGTGCTAGTATCTTTAGAGCTAGTAAAATAAAGGAATATGGTTGCCTTAGTGCTTTATGTGAAGGACAGCATCTGATTAATAAATATAGATAACATACATGAATAAATGGACAAAGTATCACATGTTATTAATAAGCCAACGTAGAAAAAAAGTGGCATTTTTTAACCTTGACTTAGCTATATAAAAAAAGGTAAAAGTAAATCATATATGGACAGTAAGAATATTTTAAATATTTAGAATATTTTCAATAATTAGAATAAATATGCTATGGGTTGACAATTTAATCAATATTTGCATGTATAAATGTACATGTAAGCTATCTACAAATAAACCATTAAAATGCTTTTAATCTGGCAAAGTTGCCAGTGGTTCCACTCCAAGGGCAATATACCAAGTGTCTGCAGTGCCATCTCATCCCAGTTTGCCTGGGACTGTCCTGGTTTTAAAACTGATATTCTTGGCCGGGCGTGGTGGCTCACCCCTGTAATCCCAGCACTTTGGGAGGCCAAGGTGAACGGATCACGAGGTCAGAAGATGGAGACCATCCTGGCTAAAATGGTGAAACCCCATCTCTACTAAAAATACAAAAAATTAGCTGGGCTTGGTGGCGGGTGCCTGTAGTCCCAGGTAGTCCGGAGGCTGAGGCAGGAGAATGGCTCGAACCCGGGGGGCGGAGCTTGCAGTGAGCCGAGATCGCACCACTGCACTCCAGCCTCGGCGACAGAGGGAGACTCTGTCTAAAAACAAACAAACAAACAAACAAACACCTGATATTCTTGTATCCCAGTATCCCTACATTCCTGGGGCAAACCAGAATGGCTGGTCACCATACTAGTGTTAGAAGCGGATTTTTAATTTTGTGCTCATGAGCATGTTGTGCACTTCTAAACAAGCTGAAAATAGGCCTGAATGATCAATGATCAGTATATGTCTAAGTGTTGAAAGTAGAATGTCCTATTCTCTTTATATAGGAGATATTACCTTATTTAAACTCATTTATAAGATATTTCTGGACTGGAAAGTTAAGTATCTTAAAAATGATAAGAAACTCACATTAAAAATACTAAAATGATTTAATTAAATAATCCTACAAATTTTTTCAAGAAGATTCATACTACAGCTGAAATTGATCAAACTGCTTTAATTTTCAAGTCTCCTTAGAAATGGTACATGTTTATGCAACAAAAAAAAGTGAGTACAAACTGACATCAGAAAATGAGAGCATGGGATACTCAAAATAAATATTTAAGTTATCTATGAACTTGGGTTATCCTGGAAAAGCATAGATGAAACAACATTTTACCATTTTTATACTAATAGGTAAGGATAGTGATAGACTGAATTTAAGTCTGAAAGCAAATCCTAGGTTTTGAGTTTTTTAAGAGAATATTTGAACAAAGGAATAGAAACTTCAGAAGAAACACAAATAATGATGTTAGTTTCACATTTATTTCAAGTTTTCATGGAGCTATTGAAGGTCAAGACGCAATGAACAGAATGTAAGGTAGGACTGCAAAAAGGGGTGAGGTAAAAGACAAGCAGGTTTTTGATAAAGAAATGTGCTTACGAACAGGACAAGATGCCTAGAAAAAGGTTTGCTGAGTGACTGGTTGAGGAGGGGAAGAAACATGGAGGGCTAGTGATTCTATGATAGGAACTGTAAAGAGTCCAGAAACTGGGGGGCAAGCAGAGGAAGATATTACCAGATTGTTATGTTGCCATGGAAGCAGAAGCCTGAGCAGGCACTAAAGAAAAAGATCCGCCACTAACATCCAGTGTACAAAATAATGTGAAGGAAAGTAAAATGGCAAAGTGAGAACTTTACAATTGCCTCTGAAAGGTAAATAAAACAAGGGTATATCTGACAGAATTAAGGGAAAGGAGCACAAAGAAGTTGATGACATCAATTGGACATCAGAAGCAGATACAAGGCATCTTTTGTTACCTGTTGAACCAACCAGTTCTTCAATTCACTCTTTAATAACTTTACTTCTGGTGCATCTCATCAAGAGTTCAGAATTAAATGATATTAAGAAAAATTATATATGTAAGAGCCAATGCTACAGGCCTCATTCTATCAGAAATGACTGCATAACGTTAAAGCAACAGATGGGTAGTTAGAATAAAACAGAAACAATGATATTCTCTGTTCACACATTGCTAACTGCCATCACTTGTACTCCAAAACAATAATTGACAGAAAACAATTTCATTGATATTCCATAGCCATATGAGTTTATGTCTCCATATGGCAAGGCCTCCACTGTCAAAGCCTCACTGCATAATGACTCCGAAGTATCTGGTTTGCAAATGTCTTCATTAATACAGGAAACAGTGCTTGCTCTTTTTCAGTAAGTATTCAATAACAAATCTGTTTAAGTTGTATAAAAAATACAAAAATCTTCCCACAGTATCTACTCTCAGTGATTCAGGTTAAATTATTATTATTTTTTTATTATTATACTTTAAGTTCTGGGATACATGTTTAGAACGTGAAGGTTTGTTACACAGGTATACGCATGCTATGGTGGTTTGCTGCACCCATCAACCTGTCATCTACATTAGGTATTTATCCTAATGCTATCCCTCCCCTAGCCCTCCACCCCCGACAGGCTCCAGTGTATGATGTTCCCCTCCCTGTGTCTACATGTTCTCATTGTTCATCTCCCACTTATGAGTGAGAACATGAGGTGCTTGGTTTTCTGTTCCTGTGATAGTTTGCTAAGAATGATGGTTTCCAGCTTCATCCATGTCCCTGCAGAGGACATGAACTCATCCTTTTTTATGGCTGCATAGTATTCCATGGTATATGTTTGCCACATTTTCTTCGTCCAGTCTATCATTGATGGGCATTTGGGTTGGTTCCAAGTTTTTGCCATTGTGAACAGTGCTGCAATAAACATACGTGTGCATGTATCTTTATACTAGAATAATTTATAATTCTTTGGGTATATACCCAGTAATGGGATTACTAGGTCAAATGGTATTTCTGGTTCTAGATCCTTGAAGAATCGCCACACTGTCTTCCACAATAGTTGAACTAACTTACACTCCCACCAACAGTGTAAATGCATTCCTATTTCTCCACATCCTCTCCAGCATCTGTGGTTTCCTGACTTTTTAATGATTGCCATTCTAACTGGCATGAGATGGTAACTCATTGTGGTTTTGATTTGCATTTCTCTAATGACCAGTGATGATGCGCTTTTTTTCATGTTTGTTGGCTGCATAAACACCTTCTTTTAATAAGCGTCTGTTCATATCCTTTGCCCACTTTTTGATGGGGTTGTTTGCAGGTTACATTATTTTTTAAAAAAATAAGGAAAAACTCCAAAGTAAGACTACTGAGAATATGCTTTTAAATTCTTTCTACTTTTGAAAAAATTATAAACATATTTTAGGTTGTGGCAATTGTGGAAGTTTCAAATTTCCACTCCACTATAACTTTCCATGGTTTTATGAAGGTCTAAAACATGTGGCAGCCAACAAAATAGATGTGTTAACATCTTACATCAAGTTCTGAGAATAAGTTCTTGATTCAGCATCCTTTAGTCGAGCCACCATGGAGAATGGGAGAAGGTGACTGGTCATATTAAATGCATTACATTCATTCATAGTTGGCCAAATGATTATAGTACATAGCTAATGTAAATCTGCTATATCTTTGATAGTGATGAAAAAGCCACTGACTATTTCAGTCTCCCAAAATACAAATGAATAATCTAGTGCACACTTTTGAGAGAACTATAGAGATTCCTGGATGCCATATTTAACATCTCATCAATGACAAGCTTTATTTCTCTCATAGAAGCATTTTTCTATATTATATTTGACTGCATTTTATTAACTTTTCTTATACTCTAAAAAGCACAGGCATTCAAAAGCTCTCAACGAGGAGACCATGTCTTCATTTTGAGGGTGACATACTGACCCAGACAAATCCAGCCAGCTAAGTAGAAATGAAAATTCAATTCCAAATAGAAAATACTGAGAAATAATTTTTGCAACAATACTTAAATGATTATAGAAGCAACTAGATAGAGCGAAACATTCAAGCCCCAGTTCTGATTCTGCCATTCATTTATTTTTCTACTCTCTTCTTTCTTGAATGAACAAAGCTACTTCTTTTAACTTATTAGTGTTGTGTCTCCTAGTTCACCTCAAACATTCTGTATCTTCTTATTCTCTCTCCATGTGAATGAAAATGTCTTAACAGAAACCAACCTAATTGAAAGATTACCAAAACCCTATGGACAGCTAGAGCAGATGGGGTTGTTTTATTTTACAAATATTCTAAGTCACCTCTTTTTCCTGACAGACTAACCTTTGCTACTGATACAGGCCATTCCCAAAGCTATCTTGTTTTTAAGTCACAAGTACAAATTGAGAGTATGCTGAGACATAAGTCCAATTCGTGGTATGCCATTCATTTTCTCATTCAAAAAATAGACACTGAGAGTTATACAATGCATCTGGCACTGCTTCCGGAATTAGAAAAATAGTGGTACACAAGAATGACACACTAGTCATCTTCTTGAAGCTTATTTCCAATGAAAGTTTCAAACAACATTTAAAATAATATAATGTGCTATCACTTGCCAAGTGAGTCATTTATTCTAAGCATGTTATATATGTTAATTCACTTTACAACAAAAAACCTGTAAGAATTAAACAACATCTCCACTGTAAAGATTAGGACACTGAGGAACACAGAGGTTGTGTCTTGTCAAGGTCACAGAGCTAGTCAGTGGCTGCATCCAGGACTCACGGAACTAGAATCTATGTGTTAAATCACTCTATCATATTACCTCTCATTAACAGCAAATAAATAAATATATCATTTCAGGGACAGATATCTTCTATGAATAAGGATAAAGCACTGTTCAGGAACATGGGGCAATGGAACGGGGATATAGTAGTTTAGACAACAGGGTCAGGGAAGGTTTCTGTGAGGAAGAGATATTTGAGGAAGAACCTGGATGATGAAAAAGGAGAACTTTTGAGAAAATCTGGGTAAAGCACATTTCAGGAAGAAAGAGCAAAGACTTAAAGCAGGAAGAAACTAAGAGTGTTCAAGGACGAACGACAAAGAGAATGGTTAGGGTGGCTGAAAGAGTAATCTAGAAGGGCTAGATTACGTAAGGCTTTGTAGTTCTAAATAAGGGGTTTGAATTTCATTCTAAGTGTTATGGCTTTTAGGGGTTTTTAAGCAAAGGAAAGACATTTGATTTTTTTTTAAGCTTTTTTTTGTTTTGTTTTGTTTTGTTTTCTGGTTGTATTGTTAAAAATAGAAGGGCTAAGAATTAGGCTCCTGAGAGGTTCATATCTCAGGCTCAGCAGAGGAGGAGGAGCCTACAAAGAAGCCCAAGAAAGATAAACCAATGAGGTGAGAGGGAAATAAAGAAAATCATGCCTGGAAGGCCAAATTAATAAAATGTTTCATGAAGAACAGGGGGGTCACCCTGTCAAATCTGGCTGGGAGTTTAGGATGAGGTCTGAGAATTGATGGATTTGGCAAGGAGGAGGTTGTTGGTAACTTCGACAAGAGTGACTCTGTGAGGATGGTGAAGAAAGAAAACCTGGTTAGAAGGGGGTTGAGGAGCCAATTGGATTGGAGGAGGTGGGAGAGCAACTAACAACTCTCTCAGGAGAGAATTCTTTCAGGGAAGCAGAGAAACATCATAACAATAGAGGTAGGGGCCATGAGAGAACACCTTTTACTATGAAGGTAGTTCGGTATGGTTATATGTTGATAGGACATATATGGGTAGTTCAGTATGGGTTATACGTTATATGTCCAGTGGGAGGGAGAGTCTGAAAAAGCAAGAGAGAACAAAGAGTAATTCATACAGCACAGTTCTTGTCTATGAGGGAGGAACTGGGCTCTCGGCAGGAGCAGGAAGAGTTCATTACTTGTAATAGGAAGGAAGACAGCGCACGTGGGTGTAAATGCAGGTACACTGCAAGACTGACGGTGTGAAGACCAGACTGTTCTGCTCTATTTTCTCAGTGAAATAAGAATAAAAGAAGTGAAGGGAAGTAGGGAGTGATAGAGGATTGAGGAGGAAGGAGAAAGTATGAAACAAACAAGTAAATCAAGTAGGAAAAGGTAGTTGAATTTCAGGCCAGTCCCGAGGGCCCGCTTGAGATTCTACTCTAAAACATTTAAATGAAAAGAGCTTTGCTGATAGAAGCAGCACTGGACCAGATAAGATAATTTTGGTTCTAATACCAGTTTTGCCACTTCCTGGACATACACCCTTGGGCAAGGCACCAAACCTTTCTGGACCTCAGTTTGCTCATCAAGTAAAGTGATAACGTGTGGGTCTGCTCCACTCGGAAACACCCAGAAATGTGTGGGGCACTTTGGGATGTCCTGGCAAATATCAGCATTCAGTACTGCAGGTCTGGGGTACTCAATGTCCTTTAGTGTACGGAAGGGTCTTGCAAGACAAATAACTGTCCCTCCCCCATCTCCAGCAGCACATACTCCTGTTGAGAAACACAGAGGCAGAGGATCACTCCAAGAGTCCTCTCAACTCCAAGACTGATTGTAATCTTAATTGTCCATATCATGGAAGCTAGCTCTTACACTGATGGATAAACCATACATCCATTTAACTCAATACTATCAATCCTCACTCTTGCCTCCTAGACTGATTACAGGCTGCTAGCCAGGCAAAATGAACAGAAGTTGAGTTTGCCCTTGTTATTTCCTCAGGCCTTAGAGGTACTAATGAGCAGCAAAACAGTTTATAGATTATAGCCAAGAAAAGAAACAGGCAGCACAAGGTGATACAGGAAAAAAAAATGCCCTCCATTATGATGAAAACCATTGTCATTAACTATCATAGCAATTAAACATAAATGCTGTCAGCGATAACACTCAATAGTAGCAAAGAAAGTTTGGTACCTAGGTTTCGCCTGCATGGAATTAGGTAGCATCTCACTACCATAAAACGAGAAAAATTAATTTTAATGGTATTGACCACAAGGACCCCAACATGAACTGAAAATTAGTTGACAAGGACAGGGCAATTATCAAAGGCAATATATCAAATTCCACTCAGATGATCAGTGGGGTGCTGTAGGCATTGCTGCTAGTGACCTTTCTAGTTGACACCTTCATTAATGATGTGTAAGATGAAGACCAGCATGTAAACATATTCCAGAATGATTCCACTACGGGGGTCATACCAACTGCAAGCTTCCAACATCCCAGAATTACTTAAATATAAATGAATACAGAGGTCCCTGGGAAGATTTAAAATTTAAGGTAGGTGATTGTATAGTGAGATAATACAGACAGATGGGTAAAAGCCTAGGTGAAAATCTCTAATAGCATGGTGATTCCTGAATGAAAAAAAAAAAATCAGTAATTACACAGATCTCAAATAGTTTTTTCACTGACATTTATTGAATAAAATGCTGGCCAGATATTATAAACACTACTGTTTCATCTATAAAATGTAAACAAATACAGAAAACATATACAATTAACCACTGTGCTTTTTTTGACTTAAAAAATAAAAAAAAATTATGGTACAATTTTTTTAATTGAGGTTAAATTTATATAACATAAAATCAACCATTTAAAAGTGAATGATTCAGCGGCAGTTAACACATTCACAACGTTTTGCAACCACTATTTCCATCTAGTTCCAAAACATTTTCATCACTCCAAAGGGAAACCCTATACACCTTATGCAATTGCTCCACATTCCCCGTTCCTCCTTGCCCCTGGCAACCAACAGTCTGTGTTTTGTCTCTGTAGATTTAGGTACTCTGGGTATTTTATTTAAGCCGAGCCATACAACACATGACCTTCTGTGTTTGGCTTCTTCAATTAATATAATGTCTTCAAGACTTATCCATATTGTAGCATGTATCAGTACTTTACTCCTTTTGATGGCTGAAGCCAACATGCTTTTAAACTGCAATGTTAACTTTAAAGTATGACAAGGACATTCATGCCAGTTCTGAGTGAAAACAATAAGTAAAACCCAGTAGAAATCCAGCAAAACCTCAACTATCCTGATTAATAAAACTCTTTAAAAAAGAAGAGCAGTAAAAAGCTTATTTTATTAATTTTACTACTGGGAAGGCTTTATGAAATGAAAAATGTTACTGTTAGCCTTTTCTTTACTTTTAAGTGACATTTAGATATTCACTAATGAGATATAGTAAATATTTATTAATTATTGATGAGCTGGAAGGTTTGGGGTTCCCTGGCATGCTAGCTACCAGGGAAGGTGCTCAGTAAGTGTTTAATGAATTGCGATAAGCATAAAGAAGACTGTAGGGGTATTTTTTGGCGTGTGTTTGCTTCTCTCCAATTGGGGCTAATGTTGTATGGCTGACATGAGCAGAGGTAGTTGTTTCTGTTCTAGTGTTAATTTCATTGATTCCCAGAGTTATCACCAACCTGTTTCTAAACTGATACCCTCATCCACCCCAGGGCTTGTGGAACTGGTTGCTTTTGCATAACATTTCCTGAGTAGGCTATAGAAAAAAGTCAGAGAAGATTTTCCTTCTTCCTTTTAAAATTTGTATCTCCAATGTAACTTCTTTCCCTCTCTCATGGTTCATTATCAGAAAGACTCTGTAGGATTTTTATTCTGTCTAGTACAGAATTTCTACATTTTTATTCACTGTCCGAGACACAGTAAAGTAGTTTTTTCAGTAGAATATTGGTGGTAACAGTGACTTTTCATCCTGTAATTTTAACCCAAAGTTTTCTAATTATTCAGTTTATATGCTCATGATTTAATTGAACAAATACTTTCTTATTATGAAAATTGGAATGGTGAACTCCTCTGAAGAACCTCAGTCTATTCAACTGAAGTGGGTTAGTGATCTAACTTGATTTCCTAATGATACCTTGGGGGAGGGGAAAAAAGGTCCTTTTTATATCACAAGAGTTTTTAGAGAGAATACTAAGAAGCTGAGAGTCCTTTTACAATGTATAAATTTTTCTCCAAGGAGATATTATTTTGTTCTTTCTTGTGTTTTAGATAGTTGGGCAAAAGGCACCATGCAAAATAACTGAAATTTAACCCTTTGCATGTGTGTATCTTTTCATAAATGTGTATTTTTAAAACTGCAGTTATATTACTTACTCAGTTCAAGTGAGATGGCAATTAATTCCTGCAGAAATTAATAGTTTCACAAACAGCTTCTAGAATATATTTAGCTTCTTACTAAAATGCTTCAGATTGGGTTATTGCTTCTATGAAAATGTGTTAATTAGCTGTAATAACTATAAATTGCAGATAAACTATTTATATTCTTTAATGTAATTGCAGTCATATATAAAACCAAATTGCATTCACATAAAAATAAATTGGGAGGGGGCAAATCAACTATTTGGAACATAGTTTGTTACAGAGGGTTCAGAACAAGAAGCGCATATATTCAACTGGGCAGGATATTACAAACACAGAGAAATCAAACCAGATACAGTGCTGAGACACAAAATAACACATGCTCTCTGTAAAATTTGATGAATCTATAAAATTGGATGGAACAATGACCCAAACTACTGAGTCTTCCGAATTTCAGGCCAGTGTTGGTTATGATGGTACTTTGCCACAAAACAGAGATAAGAGACATTTATAGTGTAGCAAGTGGAAGAACAGAGACATTTATGAAGGTAGAAGATTCATGACATATAGAAAGAACAAAAGAGGCCAGCAAACAAAGAGGCATGTCATTTTTTCCCAAGATAAACTTGCTGGAAGCCCACAGCGTCCACCATTCCAGCACAACACCATGAGGCACACAAGTCAGTCTCCAGAGACTTTTATACCAAATACTGCAGCAACAAACACTGGCATAACTGGATTACATGTTTATTTCATAACTGGATTTTGACTACTGGGAAGCGATTTCTGCAAAGGAAGCGAAAAGCTCCACATTGCTGGGAAATAAAGCTTTGGTAAAATGACAATTGCATATTTGCACAATATCCTTCATAGTTTGGCTACTCAATGTCCTCATCCAGACACACCCTGCTGACCTTTATCAGTGATTGTGTATTAACTTCTTAATTCTGATCTATGTTGCTCAAAGAGTGATGAAATAGTCTATTTCCTCCCTAAATATACGACAATGTAAAAGAAATAAGGCAACCTCAATAAGAAAATAGGCAAAATACTGGAACAAGCAACAAAAACACATATGTGGGAAATGGGTAAGAAATGTGAAATAATGTTCAATCATATCAGAAATAAAAATCATCACATGGGTGATGAGATACCATTTTTAGCATCACGTCGGCAAAGCCTTTGGAAAGTGCAATTTGAGTAGAAGGGGAGAAAACAAATGAAGATGGTGGGGAATAGATAGGAGAGGAGAAAGTAATGACAGCAAACGTAGAAAATGCTTTCAAATTGTTTTGCTTCAGAGCTGAAGGGGAATAGAAGGGTAAAGGGAAAACGTTGGCTAGTTTTTAGATGAGAGATACTTAAGCAAGTTGAAATGCCAAAAAGAAGCCACTTGTAAAAGGAAACAGGCTAGAGATAGGGGAGACAGTAATGGTGCCAGGGTAATCAGCCTCGGAGAGGAGGAGATACAAACCAAGCACAGGTGGAGGGAACCAGCCTCAGGCGGAGCAATTACCTTAACCTTTCCAAGCCTAATGTCTTACCTTTAAGCTAAGAAAAACAATACTGATCACTTAGAACACATTATGCAAGTAGCATCTGGCATACAGAAGTTTATTTATTTTAATGTTAATGTTTTAAAACAAAATGTCCTTGGTTCCTACCAATGGCTTTTACACAAATGTCATGTATGTTCAAAAGCAAATTCCTTGGCAGGGACAAGGTCATGCTGCTCCACTGTACTACAAAACGCCAGTTCATGTCAAATAAAGTATTTATAAGGAATTAATAGTTTGGCAAACAGTCAGCAAGTATTTATTGGAAGGAGCGCAGATGTGTTCCTTATTTGGGGTCACACGGATGTGAGTTTGAATCTCTGGCCCTACCAGTTTCTCACTCAGTGTTTTTCATTGTTGTATGTTTGATACTTAGAAAAGTGGCTGGCTTAATAAATATTTGTTGAAGGGGTAAATGATTAAAGCGCTCTTAACTTCTTGGTAACTTTGGCTCCAGGATCTGAAAATAAAACTAATAGTAATGATAACCCAGGTGTGTTACAGGAATGGAAAGAATACATTGAAGCAGTAAATCAGTGTCTGGCACTTAGTTGGATCAGTAAGGTAATTATCATTCTTTAGCAGTCATAGTAAAAAGAAGTAATTGTTTGAAGATTAAGAAAAAGTTTAAATAAATCATAACTCTATTATTTTAAAAACCTAAAACACACTATTAAGGTGACCAGTTTAAAATATTTTTTACTTGGAGATACCTTCCCAGAATTTGTGCTGAAGTGACATAATAGATATTGATGTGTTATTTCCCCAGTTTGAGTGCTTTGAAGGTGCCAACTATAGTGATCTAATGTGCTATAGAAATTACTACTGAAGTACAAGCATAATGGAACCGTTGCCATAGAAATGGTATTTTGCTACCCCACTCTCCTCATTTAGATGTGCTTCCTTCATATAAGGAGAAAAACAAAAAACAAGAACAGAAATAAAACACTGAGGGTACTTTCTATTTCTGATTTAAGTATTTTTTTCCTTTTAAAATAACAGGCCTAATAAAAAACAAAAATCAATAATCAGAGCCAGAATATTCACCCCTACCTCAAAGTTAAGTTTCTAATATGATATAAAATTGCTAAAAATCCTCTTACCCCAAAACCTATAGCTGTTTTAAGTTATATAAAATTTAACAAACAGTAAAGTTTTCTAAAAATGTAGAAACGGAAAAGAGGGACAGAATAATCCCTATGTATGTCAGATTATCTATAAACACAAATACATCACATGTCCAAGTTGTGTCTTTTTTATATTCTTTACATTGAACAATGATATAATACTTAATATGGAGCAATGTCTTTATTTTCACAGTTAATTTCTATCTAGACATTTGTAGTGGATTGAATAGTGTCCCTTCCAAAACAAAAATACGGTCAAGTCTTAACCCCGATAACTGTGGATGGGACCCTATTTGGAAATGGGGTTTCTGCAAATGTAATTAAATTTTAAATCTTAGGATGAGATAATTCTGGATTTAGGGTGGGCCCTAAATCTGGGGACTGGTGCTATTATAAGAGAAAGGAGACAGTGATTTGGGACACAGAGACACAACGGAGAAGGCCATGTGAGGATAGAAGCAGAGATTAGAGCAATGGAGCCCCAAGTCAAGGAACACCAAGGATTCCTGAGAGTTAGAAGCTGGGAGAGAGGCAAGGAACAGATTCTGCCTCAGAGCCTCCAAAACAACACAACCCTACCAACAGTTGCTTCTAAGATAGCTTGTTATCAAAAATTACATTTTAAGACAATTATTTTCATATTTATATTTTAATAAAACATTTAAAGCAATTATTTCATACAAAAATAAACTGCATTTTTTTATATACTAGCAGTGAACCCTTGGAAATTAAATGTAAACATTTCCAATATCATAAAAAAACCGGCTGGGCATGGTGGCTCACACCTGTAGTCCCAGCACTTTGGGAGGCCGAGGCAGGAGTATCAGGAGGTTAGGAGCTCGAGACCATCCTGGTCAACATGGTGAAACCCCGTGTCTACTAAAATACAAAAAATTAGCCAGGCATAGTGGTGCATGCCTGCAGTCCCAGCTACTCGGGAGGCTGAGGCAGGGGAATCGCTTGAACCTAGGAGGCGGAGATTGCAGTGAGCCCAGATCGAGCCACTGCATGCCAGCCTGGCGACACAGCAAGACTTCGTCCCCTCCCCCTACAAAAAATAAACACCCCACAAGGTTCTTAAGAATGAGTTTGACAAAATATGTGGGAGACCTGAAGGTAGAAAACTACACAACATTGATAAGAAAAATTAAAGAATATTAAACTGAAAAACCCAATATTGCTATAATGTCAATCTCCCATAATTTGATGTATAGAATTAAAATAATCTCAATGAAAACCCAGCAGGACTTTTTGGTTTTGAAAAAATCCACAGTCTGATATCATAATTTATACAAAAAACAAAGGGCCAGACCATTCGTCTAAGCAAATTAACACAGGAACAGAAAAACAAATACCACATGCCCTCACTTAGAAGTGGGAGCTAAACACTGGATACTCATGGACACAAAGAAGCCAAAGACAGAAAATGAGGACTACTAGAGAGGAGAGAGGGAGGAGAGAAAGGGTTGAAAAACTGACCACCCGGCACTAGGCTCAGTACCTGGGCAATGGGATCATTCATAACCCAAACCTCAGCATCATGCAGTACACCCAGGTAATATACCTGCACATGTACCCCCTGAATCTAAAATAAAAGTTGAAATTTTAAAAAAGTCCAGAAATAGCTAAAACAATTTAGAAAAAGTAAAACAAAATGGAAGTCTCATAATACCTGATTTCAAGACTTATTACAAAGCTACAGTAATAAAGATAATTTGATATTATCATAAAGATAGCCATATACATCCATAGAACACAATAGAGTCCGGAAAGAGACCCATACATATAGGGTCAATTGATTTGCAATAAAGATGTCAAAATAATTTAATGCGGAAAGATTAGTTTTCAATAAATTGTGCTAGAACAACAGAGAATCCATAAGCAAAAAACAAAAGAACTTGGGCTGTTACCTTGCACCATCCAAAATAATTAACTCAAAACAGATCATAGACCTAAATGTGAAGCCTGTAATATTTCTAAAAGAAAACATAAAAAAATTGTGACAAAGATTAGTCAGCAATTTATTAGAACACAAAAAGCATGAACCATAAAAGAAAACAAATTGATAAACTGGACTTCATTAAAATTAAAAACTCTTGGATAAACACTTTAAGAAACTGAAAAGTTAAACCTCTGAGTGGGAGAAATTATTTGCAAAACACGTACATGATAAATGTCGAAATATGTATTTAAAACACGTTATACATTCACCGATAAGAAGAAAAATAACTCAATACAACATGGGCAAAAGATATGAAGAGATAGGTCACTGAAGAAGAGGTTTGAATGGCACATGAGCACATAAAAAGATGCTCAGCATCATTAGTCATTAGGAAAAAGCAAATCAAACCCATAATGATATATCAAAACACATCCACTAAAAAGACTAAAATTACACAGCAACAACGAGGACAACAGGCAACAGAGAATGCTGGTAAAGATCTGGAACTCTCATGTATTGTTGATGGGAATGCACAAAGGATCAGCCACTTTGGAAAATAGTTTGGAAGATCCATATAAAGTTAAACATACACTTACCACACTCATAGGTATTTATGCCAAGGAAATAACAACACAGAGCTATACTCACATGTTCATAGTTCATGGTAGCTTTATCCGTAATAACTAAAAACCAGAAAAATTTAAATGAGCAAATGCCCATTGAATGAATAAACCAAATTACAGGAGTTTCATATGATGGAAAACCTCTCACAATAAAAATGAGTGGACTATGGATACATTCAACAACGTGAACGAATATGTAAAGCATTATGCTAAGTGAAAGAAGCGAGACACACAAGGCTGTATACTGCATGATTCCATTATATGATACTCACAAAAATGCAAAACTACAAGGGCAGAAAACAGCTCAGTATTGCCAGAGCATGAGGATAGGGGAGGGGATCAACTACAGGGAAGCACCATGGGACATGGGCCATTTTCAGGTGACAAAAATATTACAGATCTTGATTGTGGTGGTGGTGACACAACTGTTCATAATTGTCAAAACTCAACCTGTACAACTGAAAATGGTGAATTTGACTCTGTGTACATTATACTTCAATAAATCCATCTAAACAAATTTCAATGGCAAAAAAGAGTATTTGGAGCTAGGGAGTTTCACAGTGGCTGTAAAATACTATTTGTGTTTTTGAAGTTGTGTGTTCTTCAAAATGTCTGACATTCCTAAGCAAATATAAATCGTAAACATTCCTAAATAAATACAATCTTCATATGTAACTTTTACTTAAAAATAAAAAGCCTTTTTCTTAATAACTGTCAGCAATTTCATTAGGACATGATTCTTAAATATCTTTATATCTTTATCATCCATTATTTTGATAAACTAAATACAAAGTATCTTTTTACAAATGTAACATCCCTCTCTCCCCCAAGTGAACATTTTCCATAAATATTTAGCACTAGATTGTTACAGTATTGTTATTATTTTAAGATCAGTTAATTCAAATCCAACTCTAATTAATTTATTGACCTTTTCCAATTTACATTATAAAAACTCCCACTTTTAAGCATTTCTCAGGTGCCTTTTTCTTCTCTCTCTTCTGAGGTCTTGTCTGCCTAAGGAACAACTAATCCTTCAAAACTGCTTGAACAGCCTTCCTCCCTGAAGACTCTGCTGTTGTTGATTCACCAATTTCTTCCCTGCATTTCAGGTCAACTAATCCGTTTCCAAGATAGTACCCCTCTGACATTTATTTGTCTCTTCTACTAAAATGAGAACAGGATCTTAGCTTATATATCTTGATTTTCCTAACCTCTAGCAAACTGGCTAACACCTAGAAGGCTTAAACACAATTTTGCTTTGAAAACAAATCATTTTGAATATCAGTTGTCATTTCACTGTATGGGAGATTTAGCTTCTGCAAGGGATTGGCCTAAATGGGTGATAGCCTGAGGAGAAACATCAGAATGAAATGGTATTTGAAGGACAATACACTAACTCCTAATTTGATTTTGCTTGTTTGCCATTTGTTTCTGTTTGATAAGGGCATTGTGTCATCTCAAAAGACCGACTAATGGGGGTTACATCAGAAACATTCACTATTACAGCAGCAAAGGATTGTACAGATCCACTGTGTTATGAATTACATTTTGACAGTGTCTTGGCATCTTCACTTCTAGATCTAGGTTTTGTCCAGATCAGCAACTCAGAGAGGTTCCAGGTGTCCACATATGCTTGGGTGTAATGTCTGACTCATGTGGCTTCCTCTTTCCTGGGCTAGGCTTTTCCACTGTCTTGGACAAGGTGAGCATGCTTCTCTGGACCAGGTAGCTGGCCCAGAGGCCTGGAGGAGTACAGTCCTATTTATACTGGGCCTGGGTACACATCTGGGTGGGATAAGCATAGAGGGTATCACTGTTTTCTCTCAGTGCAGGGGTTGGGAAGGGTTGAAAGGCTGCCCCTGGGTTGCTAATTCAGATTTAATTATAGTGCCCATTGTTAAATTCTGCATAAGTTTGTAGCCAAGGGGAATTCTGTCTGGCTCATTAGGAGACATTCCTGTGTATACTTCTGTTTGTCCAGCTTAGTAGCAGAGTGAAAAATGCTTGATATCTTTTTACTAAATGAATGAACAAACCTATGATGTGCCAACCCTGTTTCAGGAGGTACGTCTCCCATATGGTGCTTCTGTGCGTGTATTTTTTAACAGCTTTATTGAAATACCACATAACTCATTCATTTAAAGTACAATTCAAATGTTTTTGTATAGTTCACTATTATTTTTAAAAAACTGGAGTAAAATATACATCACAAAATTTGCCATTTTAACCACTTTAAGTGTACAACTCAGTGGTATTAATTACATTTACAATGTTGTGCAACCATCATCACCAACTATTTCTAATTTTTCATCACTTCAAACAGAAACTCTACAACCACTAAGCAAAACCTCCCCATTTCCTCCTTCCCACAGGCCCTGGTAACCTCTAATCTACTTTCTCCGTCTATGAATTTGCATGGTGTCTGGCTCATTTCACTTATAATGTTTTCAAGGTTTATACATGTTGAAGCACATATCAGAACTTCATTCCTTTTTACAGCTAAATAATGGGTCAAAATATGAAAGGTAAACTGTATAGTTTATAGAAAATAACAGAGTATATCTTTATGACACTAAGTAAGAAAATAATTCTTAGCCATGACATTAAAATGCTAGTCAAAAAGGAAAAAAAAAAGTGTTAAAACTGTATCAATTAAGAATGTCTGTTCTTTAAAAGACACCAAAACATGTACTGAAAAAGCTAGTCACAGAGTAAGAGTAGATTTTGCAACCCATATAACCAATGATATGCCAGTATTCAGAGAAATATATTTGAACACCCATCTAAATCGGGAGGGAGCGGGCAAAAAAGACTTAACAGATGCCCTAATTTTAAAAGCGATCAAAAATCTGTTCCATTAACAGATGAATGGATAAACAAAATGTGATATATTCATCCAATGAAATACAGTGTGTGTATGTTTGATACATTGCAAATTCAGTGTTTTTCTTTCTGTTTTTTGTTTGTTTTCTGTTTCTTTGAGACAGTCTCTCTCTATTATCCAGGCTGGAGTGCAGTGGCGTGATCTCAGCTCACTGCAACCTCGGCCTCCTAGGTTCAAGCCATGCCTGCCTCAGCCTCCTGAGTGGCTGGGATTATAGGTGCATGCCACCATGCCTGACTAATTTTTTTATTTTTAGTAGAGACGGGGCTTGGCCATGTTGGCTAAGCTGGTCTTGAACGCCTGGCCTCAAGTGATCCGCCCGCCTTGGCCTCCCAAAATGTTGAGATTACAGGCTTGAGCCACCATGCCTGGCCGTTTCTGGTGCTTTTGCCATTTCAAGTGGTTACAACTCGAAGAAGTTCAAGTAGGTACTGACCTCTGCTATCTTAGCATACTTTTGGCTTGTCTATGCCTCTAGTTTCTATTCTCGTTTTTCTCACGTTTCGTGGAATGTTTCATAATTGAGACACCATCCCCTCTAGTCAAGCCTAAGCTTTTCTGAGTGGGAGGGGAGAAGAAGGGACAGCTTTTCAATGACATTTTGTTTGCAATAGGAGATAAAGGGTAGCAACTTCTGACTCCATCTGCAACAGTGAACATCACCTGGTTCCCAGACAGCACCCAGTGTTTCTCTCTGTCACACAGAAACAGATACCTTCAACCAGCATTCCAGTTACAACCTTGGGCAAGTTCTTCCTGGGATATTTCTCAACCCTGTTCTTGGCCACAGAAAAGGCAAATTCCTCCATCTGTTCTTTCTCTGCATGTCGTAAGATCTGGCTCTTCCTATCTTTCTTCCTTGACTCCGTCTAATAAAAAGACTTTTCTGAACTCGAAGTATGTGAAACTGCATAACTGGTGCTATCAATCTGATATAAAATGGCCCATTTAAGTTTTGAATTACAAGTTTTTTTGTTAGGCTGCAAAAATATCCAAATGGCAGCTCAATACCTCAGAATACGTTAGGAATAATTACTTATATTAATTCAATATATTTATTCATCCACTTAAATCTTGAGTTTATTGCAGTAGTAACCAAATGAGAACTGACATACAAAGAGAATACATTATTATGCTACTACAAACATTGTCTGAATTGCTGCAGTTAAAAATAAGTAAATTCAAAGCTACTTCCTGGCGACAAACAGGGATGTTTGAAAATTCATGTTAAGGGAAGAAAACAAAAATGCCTTTAATCAGATTAATCACCATTTTCCACAACAGATATGCTAATGAATTTGATGATCAGATATGCAGCCTTCTCTAGAGATACAAATATAGAGTAACTGTCAGTGCTATTAATTTTATCTCCCATGTATTCCTGTGAAACGTTGTGAACCTCTATCTTCTCTGAACCACAATAAAATAAAACAAAAAATCCTCTAATTTTGAACCTCCACAGTTTTGAGTTATATAAACACTGAAGAGCTTCTCCTCAGATCCAGTAAACTAGGGCAATTGCCCCAAGCTCCAAGCTTTGGAAAGAACTGGGAGACATGAATTCAATTATGCTGCTAAATAGTACAGAATGAGGACAGGCTTTTGAGGTAAGGAAGGTAGTTTTCTACTAAAGCAAAAGATTTTGACGCCTTTCTACAAATACACATACTCAGGCAATACATACCAATATCATCATCAACATTAAGGTAAAACAGGAAATCTCTATAAGAGTCCTTTACTGATTCATCTTACCTTCTATGATGCTGTTTTAGACGTGTGTGTGTGTGAGAGAGAGAGGAGAGAGAGAGAGAGAGAGAGAATTTACTTTGATAAACAAGCAGAAGAGGAATTAATCTGGGTTCTGCAATAATTAGGTTATCCTGGGAACATCATTAAATCATAGACTTCTGAACTTTAAAATCAGAGTGGATTTTTAAAATCACTAAATCCAGCACCATCAAAAATTATGTTACCTGAAAGCAGTAGGTGTATACCTCAAGGGGATGTATTAGTCCGTTTTCACACTGCTATAAAGAACTACCGGAAACTGGGTAATTTATAAAGAAAAGAGGTTTAGTTGACCACAGTGCCACATGGCTGGGGAGGCCTCAGGAAACTTACAATCATGACAGAAGGTAAAGGGGAAGCAAGGCACATGTTACATGGCAGCACGGGAGAGAGAATGATGGGGGAGGTGCCACACTTTTAAACCATCAGATCTTGTGAGAACTCACTCACTATCATGAGAACAGTGTGGGGAACTCTGCCCTCATGATCCAGTCACCTCCCATCAGGTACCTCCCCTGACATATGGAGATTACAATTTGAGATGAGATTTGGGTGGGGACACAGAGCCAAACCATATCAGCAGAGAAGGAGAGTACAGGACCACTGGAAAGCCAACGGAAGAAGGGAGAGGTTTCAGAAAACAGAAGTAACTCGTTCAGGTTTTATGGTAAGTGGTGGAGTCCATCAGGCTTCAAAGCCTTCACTCTGAACCTACTCCATGCAGACCCTGACTCTGTGATTTTCCACAAGATGTCAGTGATGTAAATACAAATACATTCAGAGCGTCCAAAAATATAACCTTCACTGCTGATTTTACAATGTGTTTATACAGTAGAAAATAAAATACTGTTGCCTTTACAATGTGTTCTTTCTCATTGAGCATAAACACTTCATAGCCATCACCTAAAACTGACTGTGTTGATGGGTTGGGCTTATCTATTAAATCACCCCATGTGATATATACATCGACTGGGCTTACAAGGAAATCCAGTGGAAGTGCTGATAAACATTCTATATAAATTGTATTTCCAAAGTATTCTTTATACAGATGCCAAATGCACTTCAGAAGCACATGGGAACAATTACATAACTATCCTTTCCGTGAGGCAGGCAGATGCATTCATAATACCCTTGCTCAGGCGGAGACGGAATCAGTTAAAATGTTCAAAAGGTGAACTCAGTACATAGATGACAGTCAAATCATATTTCATAACTGGGGTTTCATTTCCAAGAAAGCATTTTGGATTGTGATGAATTTAGAATATTGTGTTTATAAAGTAAAACTGGCAAAAAAATAATAAAAGAGAAGTGAAAAGGAGGAAGGAAGGGAGACCAAAGAAGAAGAGGGCACATCACTCTAAATAAAGACAGGTCTCTGGAACAATGGCTATGTTTTGGTCATACTCTACTTTCACATTTAATTCCATAAATGTCTCCTTTTATATTGCATATTCTGATTTTGCCTTCTAACTGAGGCAATATATAAATGTTTATGCTGCAAATTAACAATACATAGTTAATACAAAAATACAGTCACCAGACTACTGTGATGGTTAATATTGAGTGTCAACTTGATGGAATTGAAGGATACAAAGCATTGTTCCTGGGTGTATCTGTGAGGGTGTTGCCAAAGGAGATTAACATTTGAGTCAGTGGACTGGGAAAGGCAGACCCACCCTCAATCTGGGTAAGCACAATGTAATCAGCTGTCAGCATGGCCAGAATAAAAGGAGGCAGAAGAACGTTGAGAGAATCAACTGGCTTAGCCTCCAAGCCTACATCTTTCTCCTGTGCTGGATGCTTTCTGCCCTCAAACATCAGACTCCAAGTTCTTCAGCTTTGGGACTCAGTCTGGCCTTGCTCCTCAGCTTCCAGACAGCCTATTGTAGGACCTCACTTTGTGATCCTGTGACTTAATACTCCTTAATAAATGCCCCTTTATATATACATCTATCCTATTATTTCTGTCCCTTTAGAGAACCCTAATATAACTACTATTTCTATTCTATTCTAGACTTCAAATATACATTTCTTTAAGTCATTCAGCTTCAACAAACTATCACTCTAACCACATGCCTTACTAAAGGTTTGGATTTTCTTGAAAAATTTTAGTCTTAAAAATTTTTTCATTAGGGAGCATGGGATTTTAAACTACTTATAAACATTTACTTCATATAAAGAATTGACCTAACAGTTACTGGCAAATAAATATAAATAAAATAAGAATGGAATATAAAACTTCTTAAAATAGAATTGGCTTTTAAAAAACTGTCAAAAAATTAACTGGCAATAGAAAATTCCGCATTGCTATTCAGTACTTCATCAAATTCAAAAATGATAATAAATATTCAAAATTCAACCTTTGGGTAATGTCATTTCTAATGTTTGTGTAATCTTTGTTCCACCTTCATCAAGGTGCTGTGAAAAACTGCCCTTGAATCGTTTGAAAACACAGTATTTACTTCTCTGAATATTATCCCTTGTATGTATGCTACAGCAAAACTTTGCTAAAATGCTGAATACATTTTCTAGTCCGTTCTAAGGGATCTCTAGCATTATTTTTAAAATACTGATGGCATGAGGAAAATAAATTGCTCTGGCTAGTGAATGCAGGGTAGAAATACAATTACCTGGATGGTTCCAATCATTCTAGATCAAATATCTGGTTGATTAACTAAAATATTTTAATTTTTATTTGGAAAAATTGGTGTCATATATACAAATTGTCACATACTGACAAGATATAAAGTTGAAAGTATGTTTATTGTTGAAACATAAAGCAGCAGCAGCATCAGGGCATAGTAAAAATGGAGGGAAATCACCAGCTTTTGTGGAGGAATGCCATACCTCCGTCATCTTCCAGAGCTTTTGATATATGCTGACTGGAATCATAAGCCATGATTTGTTAAAATCACCAAAAATTATTATTCTGGGGCTCTATAACAAAGACATAAAAATAAATTTTAAAAATACTGAAAAATCACTCAGTTGAATTAATTTGGATGGAATGTTTTGTCATATATATCCGTAGAGTTCAGAAATGATCAGGTATTTCAGTGGATAAAGAAGTGCTAACAATGTATTTCTTTCAGGGGTTTACCCTGGTCTGGCTTCATTACTGTAAAATCTGAAAAGTGGGAACTCGGTAAAATCCCCAAGTGAGATGACACAACACTGTCATAAAAGCTTTCAGACAAGTAATGAGAAATATCCTTTTATACAGTAGGGAATAAATTCCTTGACCTAACACCCAGAGGTAAGACTATATAAAGAAAGCATAACCTATTATAATTTATATAATTTAATACCTGTTATAATTTTAAGAATTTATAAAGTAATGTTGAGGCTATTTCAATAATATTCTTAAACATATCTTAGATGGTAGTGACATAAAATTCCCTGGTGTCACTGTTTAAAACTCTTGGCCCTATTGGCATCACTGATTGATCCCAGCTGGCACTGGCATAGTTCATACGATCAAATCACACTCGGCCTTTGAAAATTAGCTTCAATATTATTTTCTCTTGAAGACTTTAACCAAAAGTACTTATACAACCAAATTCTAGGAGAATTTGCTTTGTACATCTCCAAATACTTGCTCTTCCACCCTAAGTCATATATTTCAATTCTTCTAATAGTTATTGTGGACCAAATATGGTCCAAGCACTGTGTTAGGTGCTGGTGACGAAAGCTGACTGTTATACGAAGATGACCAGTCTCATCTCAACACTTTGTCATTCTTTTAGTTTTCTCCCCATAACATTTGCTGAATATATAAATGTATTGGGACTAAAATAAAATGTGTATATTAGTGGCATGTCAGTTCCCATGATTGTACACATAGTTTCAAACATCTGTCTAGAGACTAAAGCAGCCATTTCTGTATGTGGACATACTTGGGAGTGTGACAAATATTTTTTGAGGGAGGATCAAACAAGACCTTGAGGTATTTCCCAATTATAGTTTGAAACTCATTTCTTTTCAAACAGTAGATAACTGCTAAATCTTTATTAATGGATTGAAAAATTATTCTGACAGCATTAAACAGTTAAAAATATACCGAACAATTTTTTAAAATAGAAGTGAGCAATTTTTCTTGTTTCCTATATATTAAGAAAGAAGGAAAGTTACTTCAAATTTGAAAATCTTTCTATTAGAATTCAATCAAATAAAACACACACATAATTTCTCACACATATGTACCTTTCTATCCAAAGTATCAGCAAACATATCATAAAGAATCTCTTGATCTTCCATTAGTAAGATAACAAGACTGGAAGAAAACAAGGAGGTCAGCCAAGTGCATCATTTCCCTTCTCAAGCCAGGATAATTCCAAAAAATATTAGATTCAGGCAGAAAAAGATAAATTTAAAGATATTTGGGAAGATAAATGGCATCTGCTCATGCCCACGGTCTAATGAGAACTAAATGAATTTCTAGTCTTGAATTTCCTGCAGACTGCTTTCTTTGATCAACTAAAAGATTCTGAGTACATAGAGCAGTTATGCTCATCTAGTATTTGTAGCAATGGCAGATAAGAAAAATGTATTAAACCTGAGTTAATTAAAACACTTTTGCTTTATTTCTTTGGTTGTTCCATGGGAATAATGCTAATAAGACTGCAGGGAAGAAAGAATTATATATGTGAAATTGCAGCGAAAATTTCAGTTAAGTGAAAAGGAATAGAGTGTTATCACACACTTGAAATGTTAACACATTAAAGAGTACGTTTCTTTCCCATGTAATTGTTTTTAACATAAGAGATCAGAAAGTAGCTGTTTTGGCTATATCACCTTTCTATTCAGTAATAATAATGGCAACCCTGTGCTTCCTTAGGTTATCTTGTTAAACCATACCCACACCTTATATGGTGGAAATCGATGTCTCCATTACAGAGTTTAAGTACAGCATCAGGATTTGAACCCAAATATGTCTGGCTCCAAAGTTCTCATAAAAAACCACCAAATTCCTTTGTTTCTTGAATACTGCAGGAGGAAGCAGGCACATACATGACCCCAAATGAGGGAATGTATTTCCATTCAAGTTACAATCAAACATTGATGATTATTCTCTTCTTTTGCTGTGACTACCTCTCTTCATGTAGCTTTTGTAATTTGTGATTAAAAGAGATGTCTCAAGATTTCATTGTGTTCAGCCAATTAAATATTGTTGTACACAATGAAATTTTGTGACATTTCTTTTAATCACAAATATAAATTACATAATTGCTACATAATCAGAAAGAGCTATCACAGCAATTATATAGTTTCTTCATTTCATAAGGTATTAAATTGGAATTGACCAATACTGATTAATTCATTAAAGATGTTAATGAGCAATGAGAAAATATCTATTTATATTTGTGGATCTATTACTTTATAACATATTTGGATGTAATTTTAAAATTGAAAGAATAGTGAAAAGAATTTATGAATACTCTTTATCAAGATTTTAACATTTTATGACATTTATTTTTATTCTTCTCTCTCCCTTTCTCACATATGCCTCTGTGTGTGTGTCTGCGTGTGTATTTTTTCTGAATTATTTCAGTGTAAGTTGCAGACATGATATCCCCTTACCCCTAAATATTTCAGTGTGCATTTTCTAAAAGCAAGCAATTCTTTTGCACACCATGGATGCAATCATTAAAATCAGGAAATTGATTATGATAAAATACTGTTACCTAATCTACAGATGTTACAATGTTACAAACCTTATTCCGTGTCTAAGTTTTCCCAATAATGTCTATAAGAGCAAACAAAAATCCATGATCAAGCATTGTATTCACAAGATGCAATGTCATTTCTCTTCAGGCTCTTTTAATCTGAAAGCGTTTCTGAGTCTTTCTCTTTCACGACACGGACACCTTTGAAGAGCACAGGTCAATTATTTTCTAGAATAATCATCAATTTAGGTTTGTCTGATGTTTCTTCATAATTAGATTCAGTATGTACACTTTTGGCAGGAATACCACAGAAGTACTGTTGTGTGCTTTTTAACACATTATTTTCAGCAGTCACATATTGTCTATTAGACTCACAAATGGCAAGGTTATTTTGACTATTTGGTTAAAGTGGTATCTTCCATATTTTTCCACTAAAATTATTTGACCTTTGGTAATTCATAAATATCTTGTTAAAAGATATTGTGAGACCATGTGAGTATACACTTCTTAAACTTTCACACATTTCTTTTAGCATTCATGAATGTTTCTTGTCTGAATCAATTATTAATATGATGGCTAAAAAATGATGCTGGCCGGGCACAGTGGTTCATGCCTGTAATCCCAGCACTTTGGGAGTTCGAGGCCAGCGGATCACGAGGTCAGGAGATCGAGACCATCCTGGCTAACACGGTGAAACCCCGTCTCTACTAAAAATACAAAAAATTAGCTGGGCGTGTTGGCCGGTGCCTGTAGTCCCAGCTACTCAGGAGGCTGAGGCAGGAGAATGGCGTGAACCCGGGAGGCGGAGCTTGCAGTGAGTCTAGCTCGTGCCACTGCACTCCAGCCTGGGTGACAGAGCGAGACTCCGTCTCAAAAGAAAAAAAAATTATGCTTTTATAATTCCATCATTCCGTCTACATTTATCAGATGGCTTTCTCCTGAAACAAGACCTTTCCCAGTATGGGCTTATGGATTCTAACTTTATCCTCCAGTATCATAATTGTTGATATTCTCCCAGATTTGGCCGGTGGAAGCCCCTACATGTTGGACTTCATGTTCTTTTGACATGTCCCCATCATTCTTTGAAGATATCCTTGCAATATGGAACACATAATTTCTCTTCATCTTTTAGCACACAAAATAATCTTGGACTTTCCTTGCCCCAGCCCTGGAATCAGCAATTTCTCCAAGAAGCTTTTTGGTCATTTTATCAGAGAACGGTATTTAGAACCCACAACCTGGGTACTAAGTGTGTTAATTCCTATTACAGTGTCATGTTCAGAGAACAGAGGTAGGGAACAGATTGTATCTAGCTATCTATATTTCAACGCATTAGTTCACACTGATACATCTAATACAAATCCAACAGCACAGGGTTCATTCTAACTTTTTTCTTTCTGTATTTGTAACTATGTCTTCCAAAACTGAGAAACCCACCTCCTGTTATTCTAAAAAAATAGAGATATATTTGCTCAATCACATAAAGAATAGTTTCAGAATTGCTGACCCAAGCCTCTAAAATAATACAGGAGTTCAATATGTGTTTAAAGTTCTTTTTGTCATTAGACTAAGGGGAAATATGTTCAAAATTATTTGAGCTAGCTCCTTCTTTTCCCTCTGGTAAAATCATGCTCCTCATTTGTAAAATAATATGACAGATACTCTTTTGCACCTTCATTTTTTTTAGCTAACAATATATTCTGAAAATCACTCCCCATCAGTTCATAGGCTTTATCCTTATTCTTTCCTTTTACAGGTGAACAGAACTCTATGGACATGTCATAGTTTATTCAACCACTCTTTCATATGTGGACATTTTAGATCTTGCCAATGTTATAGAATTACAAACAATGTTGAAATGAATACCTTATGCATATACATTTTCATTACTGTTGGAGTTGCATGTTCAGAATAAATTTCTGACAAACAGACTGCGGTGTAAAAAGGTAAATGCCTATGTATAAAGGTCAGATATTACAAAATTCCCCTCTATAAGTTGTACCAATGAATATTTCTACCAGCAATGCATGAAAATGCCTGCTCCCTCACTGCCTCACTAGGGGAGTGTGATGTAAACAATATACATATTATTTTAATATATATAATGTTAAATCCCAGCATAATATGAGATCTACCCACTTACATAAATTTTAAGTGTATAGTACTACTAACTATAAGCACAATATTGTGCATCAGATTTTTAATAACATTTTTGTCTTGCATAAACATTACACCAATATGTAAAAATGGTATGTCATAATAACTTTAACTTAAATTTTTCTTTTCATCAGTTAAGTTGAATATGTTTACTTATGTTTAAGAAATAAATGTCAATATTGTAAATATATGTGTATATGTATTATATTTCTTTGTGTGTATATATATTTGTGTGTGCATGTGTGTATATATATATATAATATGGGTATATTTATATTTGAGTGCGTGTGTGTGTGTGTGTGTGTTATATATAAATTGTTTATGCTTGTTGGCCATATTTTTCTCAGGCTTTTAAAAATCTTTTCTCCTTCAATTTTTAAACATTCTTCATATGTAAGTAAAAGTATCCCTTTGTCTATTATAAATATTGTAAGTATTTTCTCCTAGTTGTTTTTTGTCAGTGGTCCTTTGACTTTATTTAAATTGCTTTTTCACATGCAGGCATTAAAACATTTTTACATTTAGGCAATAAAATTTTTCAGTTTTTCCATTTATTAAATCTGATTTTGAGTTGTAGTTATGAAACCTTTCCATACAAATTCAGATTAATAAGGAAGTCACCTATGCTTTTATCTAGTATTATATAGCTTAATTTATTTTTTACTTTGTCCGGTGGTTTCAACTTCATTTATTAAAAAGATTCATCTTCACTCTAGTGATTTGAGATGCCACCTTTATCATATATTCCACGTGTACTGAGTCTATTTCTAGACTTTCTATTCTATTCCACTAGTCTATTTATATATTCATGTGTCTGTGCCACAGTTTTAATTACAGAGGCTTTATAATATATTTTAATGTCTGGCAGGGATAGTCCTCTTTTGCATATTATTCTATTTAGGTTTTTGGGTTTTGTTCTTTATTCCTGCATGCTTATTTTTCCATATGAAGTGCAATACCACGTTTAGTTTCATTAACTATGTTTAGTATTAATTTTGGAGATTCTTTACATTTATAAAATACAAAAACTGATGAATTAATTTAGTGTGAACTGACATCTGACTTTGAGTATCCTATCTCAAAACAAGGTATGTCTTTTCATTTATTTAAAACTACTCTATGTGTTTCAGTAGTGTATTACTTTTTCCACAAATAAATTTTGCACATTCTTTGTTAAATTTTTTCCTGTAGATTTTATTTTTCTGCTATTACAAATGGAGTGTTTCTGTTATTATACTGTCTAGGTATTGTGTATAATAAGATATTATTTTATGGTAATTCTATACTCCATTTTTTAAATTAAATTCATGTATTATTTGAGTTAGTTTTATCATTGCTTCTGTAAGGTTTTTCGGGTATACAATCGTATCATCTACATATAGAAATAGTTTTACTTCAAGTTCTTATGCTTCCAAATCAATTTCTTTTCAAATTACATTAAAGGAAACCTCTAGTACAATGTTGAAAGTTAACAGATATAATAGGCAGTCTTGACTTGTTTCTGGTATTAATGAAAATATTTCTAGTATTTCCCCATTAAGTAAAATTCTGGTTTTACTAATGTAGTGTACATATATTTTATAATATGGAGTTCCCACTAATTTCTATTTTGAGTTTCGTTTTCCTGAAATGGGTGTTAAATTTGTCAGAAGCTTTTTCAGAATCTCTGGAAGTTAGACATACACATTTGCTCTTTCAGAAATGTGTGGGTTTAGATGACATAATGTATATAAATGTCTAATAGTGAAACATCTTTGAAATTCACTTGATATTTTGCCCACAAGCTGGATAATACATGAAAATCTAAAAGTATATTAATTCCTTATCTTTTCTTTAAAGTTCCAACCTTCTTCTCAAATCAAGGAATAAATATGTATAGAAAAATCACAACATTGGCTTTTACAAACATTTGTACATTCTACATCTAAAATCATGTTTGGAGAAGCATAACTAGATGATATAATGTGATTATCTTATAATCCAGGATTAGTTTTATCCTCCAAAATTAGCATAAAAAAAGATTCAACTATATAAGCTGCAATTGAAGATAGTTCATGCTACCAATTTTCTAGACCTATCCTGAGTATTGCAGCTTAAACAAACAATGCAAGTGCCTGTAAATGGTAAATGGCTGTAATAATTGCAATTTAAAAATGCTACATAAATAAATAGGATTTCAGTTAAGTTTTGTACATATGATCAAACTGAAGAATACCAGCAGACAGTCTTCATGGTATTATTTCTTATTTTATTTAAAGGTTAAAACAAGAAACTCTCCTTTAAGGCAAGCATATTTGGAATTTTCTAGGACAGAAATGACAATTTCTAGACTAATTTGTAACTCAATTTCTTATGAGAAGAAGTAAGACACAGGATATTGTAAGGCTGTAAGAAAAAACAACTTTTTGTGTGTAAATAAAGTTTGTCCTCATACATTTTCCTGAGATATTTTACAATAATTGGTGTCATTCCTTAATGACTCTACTGAAGGTTTTGTATTACTCCATCAGGGATTACAAAGCACACCTCTAAACTGGGTGTTACTTTAGACATAAATGCTCATACACTTTTGGCTGAAATCATTCTAATCATTAGGTACTGTTACCTGCAGATGTGAATCAAAACATCATTGATTACATTGGCGAGTTTGCAGTTACATTGCTGAGGACTGCATATTTTTCTGTTTTGTTTATCTCCAGAATGTGAGTAAAGCTCTTTGCAAACGAGTTATTTTTAATTGACATATTCACAAGGTAAATTAGAACTAGTACTTGGTAAAAACTGTCTGGCAGATTGCATGCGTGACTGTAATTTTTAAAACCTCTCTGTAACCACACTTTCTTTTAGTACACCTATTTTCCAGTGACTTCTGCTTTGCCAGTGGAGCAATGGCAAACTTGATATAGCAGAGGCATGAAAAAATGCTTGCCCATTTCTACTTCCTCTTTTTTCACCATGACAATAAGCCTGGGGATAGTCTGCTTAGACGATAAGCTGAGTAATGCAGGATGAGTAGATTCTAGACCAACCAATCCCAGGCAACCCATCCAGTGGCCACAGACACTTGCCTGAGCCAGCTGAGAACAGTAAAGCCAGCACAGATTAGTAGAAGCACCCAGCTGGCCCATGAACTTGCGAGAACAGTACATCGTTGCTGTTTTAAGCCTTTACACTATACACTTTGAGGTAGTTTGTTTTGCAGTAGTATTGTGGCAATGGGCAAGTGATACAAGTGCCTAGAATTTTCTTTAAGTTGGAACATCTTAAATGTTTCTGGGTGCCAAGATATCTAAAATGTTGTGCTATTTCCAACAGAGCTTTTTAAAATTGGAACTAGAAAATGTGATTTTCAAATTTAAATGAATGAATAGGAACCAAAAACATCTGTGAAGAAAAGCAGGCATCAAGGCTCATTAGGAAGCAGTGTGGTACTGGCTCAGGCACACACAACCAATGAAAGCAGAGTGGAAAAGTATAATGCAGTGTATTCATAGCAGCCAATATGAACACACTGCAACCAGCAACTCTATGGATGAATCTTAGCAAAATCACACTCAGTGAAAAAGTAAGTCCAGAGAGATTATCCACAGTGTGATACCCATTTTATACACACAGTTTGCAACAAAATTCTTCAAAAAGGAAAGGAAAGCAATTGTGAGCATGAGAATTCAGGTGCTGATTGCCTGGGAGGGAGCAAGTAGGTAGATGGGGAAATTATGTGGTGAAACAAAAGTCACCGTAAAACTAGATTTTGTTTTGTGTGACAGGTTTATAAATTATTTAATTAGATAAATAACTAAATAATTTAAAATAAACAACTAAGCAAAAGCAGTTCCATACATAGACTAAAAGGAAGTAAAATAATGCTTTGCTAAGTAAGAAAGCTGAGAAATGTGTTACAATATGCAACATATACTGACTGCCATCAAACTTTTTCCTAATGATCCAGGGTCATTATTCTGTAATGCCATAACATGAAAATGCAGCTTGAAAATAGGCTAAGATACAAATGTTCACTGGTCACAGGTGGGGACTATAATTTGCTCTCTTAAAAGAGTCCATATATCTTAGCTATTTTTTTCTCACACACAAATAATTAAATGAAGCATGTTATTGATGAATTTGCAAACCTCACTGCCTTAATGAACCATTAGCTGTATTTGGCTGTATAAGCAGAAGCCTTTGGCAAAATACAGGAAGTATATTTGAATTTGCCATTTGAATTTCTCAGTGTTTTTTTTTTTTCTTAAATCTACACTAAGTGTGAGGTACACATTTTCTCTTTCATATCAGTTGTTAGCTAATAGAGACTGTACTTTGGTGATGGCATAATTTTGCTAGTTTTTAAATTTTTTAAGTTTATTTTAGAGTTGGGGTCTTGCTCGGTCACCCAGACTGGAGTGCAGTGGCATGATCATGGCTCACTGCAACCTTGAACTCCTGGGATCAAGCAATCCTCCTACCTCAACCCCAAGTAGTTAGGACTACAGGTGTGACCCACCATGCCGCCCAGCTAATTTTTATACCTTAATAACCTTGGTAGATACCTCCTAGTTATCTGCAACCTGTCTCTCTCACCAGCGCTGCCATTACCCCTGGTATCTGTCTCTCCCATGCTCACTGCCAGGTATTGTGATTGTCTCTCCTTTCCTAGACAAGCTCCAGAATGATTTCCCCAGGCCTTATCTGTCTTTATATAAGTAGCGCTGAACACCGGAATTATTGCAAAGGCCTCTTAATGGAACTTCCTCTTATTAGCTCTGCACTCTATGTATCTGATACGGTTAGGCTTTGTGTCTCCACCCAAATCTCATCTTGAATTGTAATACCCATGATCTCTGTAATCCCTACCTGTCAAGGAAGAGACCAGGTGGAGGTAACAGAATCATGGGGCTGGTTCCTCCCATGTTATTCTTATAATAGTGAGTGAATTCTCAAGAGATCTGACAGATTTATAAGGGGCTCTTTCCCTATTGCTCAGCACTTCTCCTTCCTGCTGCCTTGTGAAGAAGGTTCCTTTTTTCCCCCTCACATTCCACCATGATTATGTTTCCTGAAGCCTCCCCAGCCTTGCTGAACTGTTAGTTAATTAAACCTCTTTCCTTTATAAATTACCCAGTCTTGGGCAGTTCTTTATAGCAGTATGGAAATGAACTAATGCAGCATCTACCATTAAAACTGTCCCCAGGGTTGTTTATTATTAGTAGTATTATTATTATCTAATGTGACCATATCACTCTTTAGTTTATGCACCTTCAAATGTCTTTCATTAGAGGACAGAGTAGTGTTTCTACACTTGTTGCAGGGGCAGGTCTCAGGGTTTGCAAGTTTCACATGAGAATTTTCTAATTTTGTAATTTCAGTTCTAATTTATCTTTTAAAAACAATATAAACTTATTGTGACCTATCTAACTCAGCTTTCTGAACCTTGAATCATACCTGAATCTCCCAGGAAGCTTTGAAAAAAAAATCAATCCAAGGAGGCTCACATCCAGTAACTGTGACACATTCGTTCTGAAAGGCTAGTTAAAACATGTTAAGGTATTTGGACTACAATTGACCCTTGAACAACATAGGTTTGAAGTACACCAGTCCACTTACACATGGATTTTCTCTGTCTCTGCCACCCTTAAGACAGCAAGACCAAGCCCTTCTCTTTCTTCTCTCTCCTTCTCCTTCCTCAGCATATTCAACGTGAGGATGAGGAGGATGAAGACCTTTATTATGATCCACTTCTACTTAACAATAGTAAATATATTTTCTCTTCATTATGGAATTCTTAATAACATTTTCTCTTCTCTAGCTGACTTTACAGTAAAAATACAATATACAATACATATAACATACAATATATGTGTTAATTGACTGTTTATAATATCAGTAAGGATTCCAGTCAATAGGAGGCTACTAGTAGTTGAGTTTTGGGGGAGTCAAAAGTTATACATTGATTTCTGAGTGCACGAGGGTTTGGTTCCCCTAATCCACACACTGTTCAGTGTCACCTGCATTCTCTACACAGTGGATTGCTGGAGAAAAATTTTTAAGAAAGGAAAAAGACAAGGGTAGATCTCAATGTGAAAAAGCACTCACAATACCTCTGTAGACGACATGACTGGTGACAAGCCTGGAGACAGGGAGGTCAAGAAGATACTAAGGTCAACCAGGGTAGAGATGAAGAAGGAAGGATGTAAGGCAGCAGTGTAAGTAGAAATAGAGAGCAAATTCTGGAAGAGAAAGATGTTTAGGAGTTAAGGAAATAAGAGTTAGAAGGACATTGGCTTGGGCAACTGGTGGTGTCATCTCTCCTCAAAAAGAACAGCAGGATAAGTGGGGACAGGGAGAGGTAAATGGGGATTTGTGAAGTACATAAAAGAAAATGAGTTCAATGCTCAGTGCAGGTTTTTGATATGGCTGCAGAATATCCCTGTACAGAAGTCCAAAAGAGAATTAGCATTAAACATGTACAGAGGAAGAAAATTTTACTTCAGGTATGCAAAGTTGTGCAAAATATTGTAGCATTTTTACTTCTCTGTAACTGATCTAGATTTCCTCATGATCCTCCATCCCAAAGCATAGCACAGAAAAAAAAAACTATCTTGTAAATTAAACATATTTTAGTGTTTTGGGTGAGAATGTTATTTTGTTCTAATCAATCTATTATAGGTAAATATTCAATTAATTCAAACTTCAGATTCTCCAACAATAGTTTTGTGTTGCTATTTTTTTCACCCTTTCCCTTCTCCTTCAAAAAATCATCTGAAGGGGAAAATGTACAGACCTCAGCAGGTGAGCTAGGGCGTGATCCATGCTGCCCTATGGTCTCTCCAGACATGTCCCAAGTCCGCTCTTGTCTCAGAGCACTGGGCACAGGAAATATGCTGGTTATGCCACTGGTCCTCAGCGGCCTTTGATGTAGGTTTGCATCTGCCACTGTGCACCTCAGACCTTGCCATTGTCTCTCAAATGCCTCATTCTCAGTGTCCTCTATTGACCACAGGTCTGCACTCATCAGCCAGTCCATAAAACACTTCTTTGGATCCATGGCTGTTGGGTGGGTTAAGGGTTGTGTAATGGGAAACTTCTCCATTAAATGCATGTCACATGTGCACCATACAACAGCGGCATTAACTCAGGCTGGTTACATGGACATCTTCCATGAGTGCTTCCCTACTGTTTTTGAGGCATGCTGGACAGGGTCTCTATATACACCCATCAACACTATGTCTAAGGAAACCAGCCACTAGCTACCATCTTCTCAGATTTATCCTTTTCTACTGCAGGCTACGTCTTATCTGACAGTTTCCCCTACTTCCTCTTTCTTACTGACTCCCTTACCCTACCACTCTCTCCCTCTTTCCTTGATTCAGGCTTTCTTTTAATGACACGTTATATCTCATAGGGGCTCACCCATATTTGCCTCCTTATATTTTTTCGGATAATTTATTATGTGTTTCATGTGATTTAGTTCCTTAACCTGAAAAATCCAATAAAATCTCATCCAAAAATGCTTATGAGTACATTAATTTCAGCCAGTCAGTATGAAATTCCTGTTAATTTTGGAAGTGGTATATCAAAATATGATCTCATTTTAATGTTAGTTATATTTTTACCTAAAATGGTCTTTATAGTAATTATTCTCATTCTATAAAGTATTTAATGTTTAGGCATTCAGCTATTTACCAATGAGGGAAGAAAGATTATACCATATTATTTATTTACTTTATATACTTTATATATGTATCCTAAATATATGCAAGATTTAACATTGTGTAGGCTTACCTGTATTAAAGAAAGCCTCCACTTAGCAATTGGGTAGGTTAACAAATGTAGTTTTCCTTGTGATGCATCTTAAGGTCTACTGTGAATATTGCTTTAAAATATAACTGGTTAAATTGTTATTTTCACATTAGCAGAGTGATTTAATTTTTGTCAATTCTGACAATATCAGAAACAGATTTGAAAATCTGAGAAAAACATATTTGGTGAATTCAAACAAAGTAGACATGTTAGCTACTCTGAATGATTCAGGCTCCACTACCAAGGCAGGTAAAAAAAAGAGTCTGTCACAGTATCTTAATCACCTCACCACAACATGTAGGTGATAGTATTTACTCAAGAAAGACTTATGAAAATGCAATAAGCCTCCTCTCCACCTCCCTTTTAAAATTATCAGGTTCTTACCCTGAATTTTTTTAACACATATGCTAATTCTAGACTAAGGGCCAATTTCTTTTCTTTTCTTTTCTTTCTTTTTCTTTTTCGAGACAGAGTCTCACACTGTTGCCTGGACTGGAGTGCAGTGGTAAGATCTCGGCTCACTGCAACCTCCGGCTCCCGGGTTCAAGTGATTCTCCTGCCTCAGCCTCCCAAGTAGCTGGAATTACAGGTGCCTGCCGCCACGCTCAGCTAATTTTTTGTATTTTTAGTAGAGATGGGGTTTCACTATGTTGGTCAGGCTGGTCTCAAACTCCCGACCTCATTATCCACCTGCCTCAGCCTCCCAAAGTGCTGGGATTATAGGCGTGAGCCACCGCGCCTGGCCAGAGCTACTTTCAATCTCTATTGGCAATGCCTTTTACAAATGTTCTGTCTAGTTTTACCAATACATCTATAGTGATACAGAATAGGTGAAAAATTAATCTTTGCATAGATATATATATATAAAACCACATCCATGAATGAATTATTAATGGTAAAGATATAAAGAAGGCTGAAAATATGATTTAATGGCATTTATGCATACTATAAACTTACATTTCTGAGCAGAGCAATGAAACTCTATAAATTTATACGTTTTGTACATGCTCTGAATTCTATGCCATGCTCTTTGAATTAAAAGATAATGGTGCTGACGGTATTATTGTCTATGCATACCAATGTGGCTGAAAATCCCTATGAGTTACTCTTAGTCTTCCCCACTAATTCTACACTAACTGGGACTAAATGAAGTGAAAAGAGGATTGGTACAGTGTGTCCTCTACAGAGAGAAAAAAGAGGGCTTTTTATGTCTGAGTCATTAAAATCTGTTGTTAGCACTGCCCTGATCTAAAGGCAGAACTTTCAAAGACTGTAATTCATTATCTCTTTGGTCTTTTAACACTGCAGTCTTTCATTAATCCCAACAGGTGAATAATATGTTATAATATATGTGATTATCAACAGTAAATAAATGATGCTAAGAAAAAAAATAAAACCTCCTAGTAGTATCAACCAATATCAGATTTCGACTAGAGACCAGAAATTCAAGTACTTTAAATATCATATGATTCTTTCTAGAAAACAAATAGATTATGGTTTCATTTTGGTTAATATGCAAAATATACCAGCACAGGGTCTAAAATGTCTGACAACTGGGCTGAATTGGAGAGATTTGACATTCGCTGCATATCAGTTTCAGTGCTGGAACATTTATTCCTTCCATATTGGTATCACAATATTTTATGCATATACTCTGGCGTATGTTGGAGGAGCCACCATCCATTGTGTGCCGCCATCATGATCCTTGCTTACTTCTGTTGTGTAGCACCCTTATGCTTTGGTAACCTGTATAACCTGTTTGGTAAACTTTTGGTAACATGTATGGTAACCTTCAATGAATAGTGAATAAGTTGAAAGTGTGTGACTTCTGAGAATATGCCATAAAAGACATTGCAGTTTCCACCCTAGCCTCATGAATTGCTCGCTCTGGTTGGAAACCAGCTGCCATGTCATGAGGACACTCAAGCAACCCTGAGGAGAAGACCATATGGGGAAAAACAGAGGCCTCCAGTCAATAATCAGTACCATCCTGCCAGCTATATGACTGAGTAAATGTGGAAACAGATCCTCCAGCTTCAGTTAAATCTGTGGACAACTGCAGCTCTAGCTGACATCTTAACTGCTATTTCATAAAACAATTAGTAGAGTCAGAACTGTCCAGCTAAGCCATCCTACATTCCTGACCTACAAAAACTAAGAGATTATATATGTTTATTTTTGTTTTTTTTTAACTTCTTTCAGTAAATACCAAATGAGAGTCTAGTTTTCTTAAGCTACTAACGTTTAGGGTATTTTGTTATATGCAATAGATAAATAATATGAAGGGGATACTGATACAGTAAATTATTTCTTACTTTTTTATGAAATATCTCAAGGCAATACCTGAAAAGATTTATGCATAATCCTAAAAAGAAGCTGATAGAGTTGCATTTTCAGGCTCTTATTGATAGAAAATGGGTTGTTAATCTTCTTGGTAAGAGGTGAAGTTGCTTATTTTATGTTACAAACTGAAATATTTTCTGAATCATCTTTCAGTTTGTTTTTTAATGTCTTGAAAAATAAGTCATCAAAAGCTATTTTTCTTTCACCAAGAAACCCATAATGTCTATCAACTCTAAATGAGCTAAGAGCCACATAGTCTCTATGATCAACTGTCTTCATCAAACTATATAACTTTGTATTTATTATAGTAATTTGATATAAACAGTCAAAAACAGTTCAATTCTGCAATTACAGCTGTTGATAAGAATATTCAGCTATGAAAAATCTGCAAAATAAACCAAGTTTATGAGAACAATAAGATCAGCCATTTTTCCAGGTCATTGCCTTTGACATGATATCCAGTATTTTCCATTTTATGGAAAAACAATAATTCAAAACCACGTTTAAGCATTTTAACCCTCTTTCTTGCTCCAACATCTATATTCATAGAATAAGTTTTTGAACTCCTCTTGCAATTCACAAAACATTTGTCTAAAATGATAGGTATCTGAACCAGCTGATTTTATAAAACATTTGTATTTTTAATCATCCCATAGAAAATACTGAGAGAATTCTGGCTAAATTATTTAAAGCAGGAGATTTTTAATAAATAATGGACTTGGTGTAGGAGATTGAGCTCCCAAAGTTTTGTTCTTTATAGAGGTGCCAGTTATTGCCAATTTCTTCCCAGTTGCTTGTCAACAGGCAATATGAAGTTTACTATATTTTTGTTGATGTCCATATACATACATACATATATATATATGAAAAACAAAGTCCATTAAAGTGATAACTTTGACATCACCCAAGTCATATAGATATATGGGCAAGAACTCAAGCTCTCAACAAGTTGCTTAGGTGTATATTTTCTGATGGTATTAGATAAGGGTGCCTTTCGCTCTGAGTGGCTACTCCTTCTTGATGCAGAAGAATTTCATTATTTCCCATGGGTTTCATCAAATTTTCTTCCATTATGTGAACCTCACTTTCAAAGGTCACTTTGAAATTGGCCTTGAAGAAAGCTACAAGAAAGATACCATTTTCTAAGTTTGGTTGTATTTTTCCACTATATAGGTTATAGTCATGATTTTTTTCTTTATAGTTGGCAAAAATTTTTGCAAATTGTGTTCAAAATTTGCATGACTGGATTTTTAGTTCACTCATTTCAAAGATTACTTCAAAAGACTAAGGCTTAGGCTTACTTGTATCATGACCATAGTTAATTAAAACACATAAATAAATTTGTTTTTTTTTGTTTTGTTTTTAGTGATGTGGTCTTGCTCTGTTGCCCAGGCTGGAGTGCAGTGGTGTGATCATAACTCACTGCAGCCTTGAACTTCTGGGCTCAAGCAATCTTTTTGCCTCAGCATCCCAAGTAGCTAGGGCTACAGATGCACACCACTACACCCGGCTAATATTTTAAATTTTTGTAGAGACAGGGTCCAGGCTAGTCTCCAACTCCTGTCTTAAAGTGATCCTCCCTCCTTGGTCTCCCAAACTGCTGGGATTACAGGCATGAGCCCCTACTTGTGGCCACAAATAAGTTTTAAGAACATCCTATCCTGTCTCTTACCACCACTATACTAGCTGTGGCCAAAGTACGGTCACCATCTTCCTTAATGTCAGGTTTACTGCGAAAATCTTCAAAATCTTCTTTTTGTTAGTCATGACCCCATATATTTTAGGTTGCTATAAACCACACACATAATGCATTGGTTTCATAACACATTGGTTTCATTTTGTTGCTAGTAGAAAATAAAATTTAAATCCATGAAATTGTTTAAAGTTATATATAGAATGCAATAAATATTACAAATACATCTCAGAATCTTGGTCATTTTCTAACTAACTGCAGGGAGAAGTGGAAAAAACAGTAGATGGTGGCTTACAAACAAAACTTTGATCCGCCCAAAGGTGGGAAAAAGCTAAAATGATATGTGGGAGCAATATTTTTAATATAAAGTTTAAAGAACCCGGCTTATAAGTGACAAAAACATTTAAAACTCTGTGAAGTTTTCTGAGGACATCATAAGAAATGACACATTCCACAATAGGAGGAAGTCTTCAGTATTTTTTATTCCTTTTTGGACCACTGATTACTCTATAGCTAGTGCTAGTATCACTAGATTTCTTCACAACACAAAAGTATCAAATGTTCCCATTACTAATTGCACAGAAAATGTCTCTATTCTCTAAACTTTTAAAACGACCAACAAAAAAATTCTATTGTCCCAATACAAAAATAAACTGGATTATCTTGATCTAATTAGCCCATGATAATCTTGGAAGACTGAAAAAAATCTTAAAATGTATCCTCAGACTTCTAGCAGAACACTGATAGTGAAGGAAGATGCATCATAATGTTCTAAACTTAATGTATTTGCTGATATATTTCCACACTGGCAAGTCGGTGCATCCCATTTTGAGAAGAATGAGTGTAAAATAATCTGGTGTCTTCTAGGCAGCATTGCCAGATAGACAGAACACCCAGTTAAATTTGAATATCACATTATAAACAATACAAAAGTATATTGTCAATACTGAAGGTGCTAAAAAGTTTAAAATCCCATGTACAGGTTATGAAAAGCAGCCAAGTAACTGTAAACTGATTGACCAACTCCTTTATAGATTTAAAGTTGCCTGTGAGTTACCACGCACTTTGATGTGATGTTGAGGAACAATATGTACGGATTAGTGCATTTGCTCAACAAATGTGGATTCAGCTCTTGCAACATCTCAAGTATGCTTCTATGCATTGGGGAACCACAGTGAATGGACAGAGAAGATGCCTGCACTTATGGAACTCCCAGCCTAGCTCACAGGTAACTCACAAATAGAGAAACAAGAAATATTAGCTGGTGGGAAGTGTTAGGGTGAAAACCAAACAGTAGAGAACATAGAGCATGACCAGGAAACTGCTTCATCCTGCATGGTCAGGAAAGCTCCTGAAGGAAATGCTGCTGAAACTGAGATGACATGATGGGACAGAATCAGCCTTAAAGAGATCTGGGGACAATATTTCCAGGAAGAAGAAAGGGCTGGTATAAATGGCCTGAGCTCAGTATGTTGAAGAAACAGAAGAGAGAAAAGTGCAGTGGAAATGTAATTAGCAGAGGGAAGAAAAGCCTGAAAGGCATGCAGGTGGTAGATTTATGTGGGGCAACATTTCTCAAGCATTTTGTTCTCTAGGATCTTTACACACTCTTTTTTTAAAAATTAAATTATATATATATAAATATACATATATAATATATAATATACAACCAAATTTTGTAATTATATAAATTATGATAAAATAATTATATAGTGTATAATTTTATAATTAATAAAGTATACATATATAATACAGATATATGTAATATATTATAGTTTATATATTAATTATAAAATTATACATAAAATAATATAAAATATATATTTTATAAGTATTATAAAATATAAATATAAAATATATGTAATGTATATATTTTAAAATATAATATATAAAAATATATAATGAATATAAAACATGTAATACAATGTATATATTTATCATATATATGAATTACATATACATATATCACATATAAATAAATAAAAATAAAAATATATATAGTGTGCCCTTACCCCAACTTCCCCCAATGATAATATCTTACATAACCATAGTATATTTCAAAACAAAAAAAATTAATTTTGGTACAATACAACTTAGATACAGACCTTATTCAGATTTTATCAGTTTGTACTTTTTTTATATATATTAAATTTTATCACATGTGTAGAATTGTGTCACCCCATCACCATTGTTACAGCACTATTCTGTCACCACAAAGAAACCCCCTTGTGTTATATTTTAATAGCCATACCTTTCATCCAATTTTAACCTCTGGTAACCACTGATGGGTTCTCTATAATTTTCTCACTTTGAAAATGTTATATGAATGCTATATTGTTATATAAGTAGGCTGCTTTTTATCTCCCCTCAGCTAAACGTCCTTGAGGTCTATCCAAGTTGCTGGTGGATTAATAGTTATTCCTCTTGAATTGCTGAGCAGAATCCCAGGTATGAATGTACCAGTTTGTTTACCCATTCATTCACTGAACGACATTTCTGTTCCCTTTACACTCCTAAATATTGATGACTCCAAGTCGCTTCTGTTTAAATGTATTATATAGACATTTTCCACGTTAGAAATTCAAACAAAGGCATGTATTTACTTATTTATTCACTTAGAAATAGCAATAACAAACCCATTGCATGTTAATAGAAATAACATAATTTTATGAAAAATACTGATATTTTCAAAATGAAAGAAGGTAAAAAGAGGGGCATTGTTTTACATTTTTGCACATCTTTTCAATGTCCAGCTTAATAGAAAACTTCTGGTTCTCATATCTCCTTCTGCATTCAATGTGTTGGGATAGTGCATGTTGCATTATCTCTAGGAAAGCCCTCTGCGCACACATGGGAGAGTGAGAGAGAAAAAGTCAATAAAGTCTTTATATTATGATGAAAAGTGTTTAGATCTATTGGACCATGATAAAGTTCTCAAGGACTCCCAGGAATTCTTGTGTCACTGCGATTCACTGAGTTAGGGGTTTGGACGATAAAGAGGTTGGATTTTAAGGGGAAGGAAGCCCACTGTGGAATTTTAAGCCGAAAGTGACATGCCTTTACTACCTTTTGAAAGATCGCGCCTCTGACTTCTATGTGTGTAATGAATATCTAAGGTGGCTAGTGACAGCAAAAGAGGTCTCCCCTGGCAAGAGACTGTGGTGGTTTGGACTAGAGGAGTAGCAGCAAAAACAGCAATGATGTAGTACATCTTTAGTGAGTAGAGTCTATAAGTCTTGCTGATTGAAGAAGATGTGGGAGATGAGAAGGAAAGAGGGAAAACTGGGCTAATTTACATATTTTCTACCTGAGCACTCACTCGTCTATGTAAAAAGCCTGGAGGAACAGCATGTTTTAGGATGAATTTTGCAAAAAAGAAGAAAGTGTGTGCATTTAATGGGACATACAAGTTTTTTTTCCCCAGCTTCTTCCAAAGCTGCTATTAAATTGATGGTACATCTTATAATCAATGATATCTTATATTTAAGAGACTACATTTCTTCTCTATTCCAATATAGCCTAAAAACAGATTAGCACTAAGTATAGATTTTAAAGGCAGTTTTATAACCAGGAATGTACAAATGTTTAATGATTCCATTTTTCCTCTCCATGTTGCTGCTACCTTAGTTAGAAATAAACATAGTCTCAATATCACCCGGTTCAGACCAAAGGATATTAACTTTAGATAAACGTATCACCCAAACATTGTCACAATACTTTTTTCCCAGGTCCTCATCTTGCTCAATTCCCTTAGAGCATAATACATAAACAAAATTATTTTACTGAAGTGAAAACCGAGGCAAATGTTTAAACTCTGATGTAAATAGAGATGGCTCAGTATCAGCAACAGATAATCAGTGTCCCCTGTGTGCCAAATAATGTCCTTATTACAGATTCCAAGCTGCAGGAAAATTAGAGTCTACGTCTTTCAAGAATAAATTATAAACATCGTTAGAATCAGTGGTCTTTAGCTTACAATGCACTGTCCATAACTCAATTGATTGAAAGAAAGAACAGTTCCCTCTTGTACCTAGGCTCTTAGTCTTTTTTTTTTTTTTTTTTTTTTTTTGACAGAGTCTAGCTCTGTTGCCAGGCTGGAGTGCAGTGGCGCAATCTCAGCTCCCTGCAACCTCTGCCTCCCAGGTTCAAGAAGTGATTCCCCTGCCTCAGCCTCCCGAGTAGCTAGGACTACAGGTGCAGGCCACCACAACTGGCTAATTTTTTTTTTTTTTTTTGAGACAGAGTCTTGCTCTTGTCAACTAGGCTGAAGTGCAGTGGTGCAATCTCAGCTTACTGCAACCTCCACCTCCCAGGTTCAAGTGATTCTCCTGCCTCGGCCTCCTGCCTCAGCCTTCCGAGTAGCTGGGATTACAGGCACCTGCCACCACGCCTGCCTAATTTTTGTAGTTTTAGTAGAGACAGGGCTTCACCATGTTGGTCAGGCTGGTCTCAATCTCCTGGCCTCATGATCCACCCGCCTCAGTCTCCCAAAGTGCTGGGATTACAGGCATGAGCAACTGAGCCACCGTGCCCAACCAGTCCTATTTTTTATTCATCTTTTCAGTATATCTGACATGTCTAAAAAACAAAATCTATTTCTAAATTATCTTCTTACGATCACACAAAATCTAAAGTCAAGCGAATGTCCCACAGATTACTGTTTGCAAGCCAATTCCTTACATTTCCCTAAACAACTATTCGGAAAGATTTTAGGTTCAGGATGCCCAGAACAATTTCTGCAATATTTTCCCTCAAACATGAAGAAACCACTTCTGTTGAAGCCTTTGGTTCATGCCTTGGTGCTGTGCCGCAAGCAGATAAGTGTTAATTACTTGTTTTAAAAAGGCCTAGAGCATTTTCATTTGGCATAACTGGCAGAGAGGCCTAGACTAGTTTGTAATAATGTCCCATGATGTGACTTTTAACATACTCTGTGGCCAGTCATACTGAACATCTTATTATTCCCTAAATAAGCCATGACCTTTCACACCTTGCACTTGATCAGTGAAATCATACTTTTCCATTTGAAGGAAGCTGAAGGCTTTATATTCTTGGTGAAGTCTTCTCTGTCTTCCTTAGAATTAATCAGTTTTCTTCAATACTTCAATTACATCACACTAATAAATAGTTTCTTGACTATACACAAATGACTATAGTGAGTTCCTTTAATGCAGGGTTTATGTCTGGTTTCTCTCTGTGCCACCTGCACTAGCACAAGCCCTTGTGTATGGTGGTTGCTGAGTATATTCTTAGTTAAAATGCACACATACACACAATTTTACTGACTCACAATTATAGTTAAACAAATAATTACAAGTTTATCTGTTTATTCTGCCTTACTGAAAGGTCTCCAGAGGTGAGAATTATGTAAACCAAATGTCTATACATACCCTGTGGAGCTCAATACATCACTTTTTTATTGAGTGCTTAACAATTTGCTTTTAAGCACTCAATTCATCCCTTCATTCTGAGAATCTTCATTACCTAGAATAACACAAAGGTTAAATTGATGGAAACATAAACACACAACATAAAAGCTTCCTGGAATATAAGAGATACCATACTTTTTAAACATGACATACCAAAATTAAAATTCTTGAGTTTAGACTTCTTGTCTGGCTATTACAACTTGGGAGGAACTTTGCCTGAGTAACAGATACCTCCTGGGAAGGCAGATGGCTCCAGCAAGGCAGGTAACTTTGGAAGGACTCACAAGGAACAGTGAAGAAGAAGGCAAAGATCTTCTGAACCAACAAAGGTCAACTAGATCAGACTCGTGGATTCTTTAGGCTATGAGATATCAGAACAGCCAGATTATGTTCTCAGCTGGGTAAGCACTCTTAGAACTCACTGATCCAAAATTCTTCCCTCTATACCCAGGGAGGTTCTAATGGTGCACCTGTCCATTAGCTCCTCCACATAAGCATGAACAACAAAGTGGGATGGGGGAAAAAAAAAACTACGGGAAAAAATCCATTGAGAAGGAAAACAAAAGAATTATACTGCTTTCACCTTTAAGGACTTCCAAAAGCTAAAGTTAGAAAGATGAGACAAATTGCCTAATTAGAAAGTGATAAACATATGAATCGTAAGTGGTAAACTGGTAAATTATGAATCAGACACTGTCTTTAAACATGAAGCAGTCAATGAACTTCAGAGTCATCAGAGAGTATTTCATGAGGAGAATAGGTTTTGAACTGGATCCTGAAATATTGAAACAATTTGGATAGGTGATAAATATCAGGGTTCCTTTGGTAGTCAGAGAATTAATTTATACTGAATTTAGAACCACATGAATTAGGAAAAAGAAGAATCTAGAGTGTATCTTCTCTCTTCTGAGGAGCACACAGAGCTTGAACCCCTAGGAGGAGGCAGTTACTGTATTACCAGTGCTGAATCCTTAAAAATAACAGTGCTAAGAGCAATTAACAGGTGACCACACAGGCTTCATTTGCTATTTACAAAGGATTACACTGTTGTTTTTTTTCATGTAGGTTTGATGTTGAAAATTCCAAGTTTATACATAGGAAAAAATTAATTGTAAGAATAAAATAATAGCATATAGTACTTTAACTGTATGGGCTAGAATTTAGAGTTTACCAACGCTAATACAAGAATTATATCAATTGATCTTGATCAGCCCTCATGGAAAGTTATGATATCCACTTTACAGGATGAGGAAGTGAGTATTGCCAAGTGTCTATGGTTGGTCAGCCAAGAAAAGCACCCAGACTTGAAATCGTATGCATTTTCTATCACAAGATGCAGCCTTCTTAACATTAAGAAAAAATTTACCAAAAGACTGCTTTAAATAAAAGCCTCCAAGCTACATGTCAAACATAATCAATTAGTCACAACAAATTGAACACTACTTATTGATAACATACTTAAGGAAGCACAAATTGTATAGATTCTATTGGTTGACCATTGCTCCCTAGATAAAGAGATTTGAGAGCCAGTTCCCTTGCCTCAAATCAAAATAGTATAGAGTAGAACATACAACTCTCTCCTACCCCTATCAATTAATGGAGATCAACAATTAGGAGCTATTGTCCCTATCAATCAAATCTATAACATAATTTTTATAAGAGTGATTACAGTGACCTCTCTTCCTCAAAAGACAGCAATGAAAGATAGAAAAGAAATATTAATTGTATTTTCTCTTTTTTTTCTCAAAACAGTTTTCTTAGAATCATATTATGACAGCAACCACAATAAAAAGCTATGAATCTTACAGAAATAGATTTTCCAATTTTAACATTTGGATTTGTTTATTCCAAGCCTATACAAAACTTCCAACAAAAATTCAGCATATATAAGATCTCTTTTAGTGCTTGGTAAATGTTAAAAATGGATGTAGAGGCGGGCACAGTGGCTCATGCCTATGATCCCAGCAACTTGGAAGGCTGAGGCAGGCAGATCACTTGAGGCCAGGAGTTCAAGACCAGCCTGACCAACACAGTGATACCCTGTCTCTACCAAAAAAAAAAAAAATACAAAAATCAGCCAGGTGCGGTGGTGGGTGCCTGTAGTCCCAGCTACTCAGGAGGCTGAGGCAGGAGAATCACTTGTACCCAGGAGGTGGAGGTTGCAGTGAGCCGACATCACACCACTGCATTCCAGCCTGAGTGACAGAGTGAGACCCTGTCTCAAAAAAAAAAAAAAAATGTACAGCAGAACAAGGCACTGTGGAAAAATATGCCATTATTTGAAAAGAAACAGGCAATAATTTTTGAAAATATAATTTTTAAGAAACATTTTACTGCAATAGAGAAATAGCAAAATGGAATAAATTACTCTTTCTTTTTGTGTCTCACATCTGAGGCAGGTCCAGCAGCTAAGTGCCTTCCCTCAATTCTGCCTGGAATGTGCCACATTATTGATCTCCTGGGTCTTTTCCAGGAGAAGTTCCCACAGATCCTGCAGTAGTCACGGTGCCTGTGATGAAGTTTCTACTATAGCTCTAAAACAGATGTAGCAACTTGGCCTGCAAACTCGTTTCTCAAAAGCCCCCCCATGCAAACTACCGAGTCTAACACTGAAATCCTAAAGCATTCCCAAGGGCCTCTAAGCCAGCTAAAACAGTGTGATTTACACAGCTACACAGCTGATGCCTTAGGTCTAAGAGGAAGCATGGTAAATTAAAATAGAGTCTCTGACAGTATTTGGCTAAAACCATGCTTGCTTACATGCGTATAGGCATACTATAGAAATAGTTTCACAAATGGCTTTTCTGTTGGACATATTTAAACATTAAAATCATGTTAGTAATTGGTTTTCCTTTCTTAAAAAAAAGAAATGTTTAATATTACAGAATCAGGAATTTTTTTTCTTTTATTTTATGGGACAGATACTATAAGGTCCCTAATTTGTATTTAAGGAAGGTATGCCCCCTTCGTTCAATACATTTCAGTCCTGCAGCCCTTCTCTCTACTTCTGCATTAACCAGATAGAGCTACTGGATCAGGAAACACTTTACCCAATGTGACTGAGCTAAGAGCCTCTGGGGTATATATTCAAAAATTGATTTACATTGTATTAACTGCAGCAACAGTGTTCTTAGATATGGCACTGAGTATTTGCAGGGAAAGGCTGACAAGCTGTCTTTAATGAGTCAGTTTTCACAGCTTGCTGCAAAGGTTCCTTAACTATGCCCTTCAATGAGGCCTAAGCGAAGACTTACTCCTTAGGAATTAGGTTTTATGTACTTTTAGAACAGAGCCTACATTGTTCCTATAATAAATAATTATAATAGCCATTATATAACTAATGGCTTTATAATCTTGATTTTGACTTGTTCCAAAATCTACACCTCATTGCAAAAATGATCTAATGTTCAGGGACTTGTAAGTGTAACAGACCATGAGGATTGAGTAAGCTGTCAGAAATAACTACAGTCATATCTATCAGAATAGAAACAAATCTGGCTGGCAATAAAGGAGAAGCTGACATTATATAAACACCCCCAGCAAATGTTAAACAAACCTCATACGTGTGCCTTTCTATACATTTTCTACACATGATCCCACGTAATTGTTACATCAGCCCTATGAAGTGAGGGTGACTATTTCTAGTTTAAAGATGAAGAAACTAAAGCTTTGAGAAAAAAAGGCCCCTAAGCCATGGCTCAGAGAGCAAGGTGATGTTCCTAAGATCACATAGCTAGTGTATATCAGTGCCAAAATCTGAACCTGTGGATATCTGACTCCAAAGGCAAGGATTTTTCAACTACATCATGTGGTCTCCCAATTTGTTCTGTAGCTTCTTTATATGCCTAAATTGGCTTATGATTACTGCTTACCAGGGAACAGCTATGTGTTCTGGGCTTATTAACTCATTAAATCCTCAGAAGAAATTCATGGAAGAGGTAATTTTATTATTCTTATTTTACAGAAGACAAAAGAAACGTGTCTGTGATCGCACCCAGCAGAACAACCGAGGACCTACTCCCTCACCCTCTGCGCTATCTCAAATCTCTACATACAACAATAGCAAAACAGACTGCAAATATGACCCACTGCTTTTACAATGTTAAAATCAACTGAAACGATATTCTGACAACAGCTTTTCTCACAGATTACTAGACATCTCTGCCAAAGGAAATTAAAACATGCCTCCAGAAAAAAATCAGGACTAATTCTGATCTTCTTGAAAGAAACTATTATATATTAATAGAGTCATATCATGGGCACATGGATAAGTAATTATCATAATTTTGAGAAATATAAAGCCTCTTTTAAAAAAGGTGCACAAATGATGTTGGCTTATCTGACATAGGAGTCAATGTGATGGACTTACATAAACAGAAGAAAATCAGTAGTGATTACCCAGAAGAAAATAGAATATGATCATCTTGGGATTTTCAACATTTGTCCTGCATGCTTATTCCATCTCATATTTTTATGATTGATCCAAGTAAAGAATGAGTCACTCCATAGGGGGGCTGAGAACATGCCAGGTCGAAGATTTTCCTGTGACATTAAACAATAGCTTAGAAAAAGCAAATAGAATCTACTACAAAATTATAAAGCAGCTAGAGTTTGCATGGTTCTTTTCCCACTCGCTGAGTGACTCTTTTCACCACTTTGTGGTCCCCCAGCTCCTGGGTGCAGGCATTCATCTTGTTTTCAACTAGCTGAAACCTAAATGATTTTAAGTTTCACAAGCTAGCAGCCCTTCTAGGAGAATTTGATTTTTCACTGGGAATTCTGGATGGTTTCAAGATGAAAAGTTACATTTTACTGATCAAATTCTAGAGAAAAGTGATGGGGGGAGGTGATGGGAGATTTGAATCATCCTACATGGGGCAGCTCTGGAAGGGTCAGTGCACACACACACACACGCACACACATACACACACACTATCACACCAATTGAGTGCTCTGTCTCTATTGAAAAGACACATTTTCCCCAGCTACGTGTTTTCAGATTGAATACCTTGGAGCCAAGGGGTTCCTCTAGGCCTACCCCTACAGTACAGAGAAAACTGAGTGGGCAAACTTCTGCTCCTCCTCGCTTGCCTTCAAACAGAACTTCTCTTCCTTTATTGGTTTGATTTATCAAAGTTCTGTGGAATAGTTCTCAAATGTGTACACTTCCCACAGTTTCCTTCTAAGTTTGCTCTTTCCTCCCTCATACTTTTCAAACCCCCTCACTCCCTCACTCCCTCACTTTTAGCCAATGACTCTAAGTTTCTCTTTACTGAGAAAACAGAATCTATGAGGCTTTAACTCCCTCTTCAAATAACATCTCCAAAACACAGAATGTCATGGGCTCCACCCACCTTCTCCTTCTCCTTTCCTAACAAAGGCCATTCCCTCGCATGCTTCTGAATCCCACTCTTTGGCTTTGCAAGGTCTTTGAATTTCTGTTCATCCTCTCTCTTTCTGATCTAGTATCTCCAATCATTAAAAAAAATTCCTCTTAACCTCACAACCTTCTCCAGCTATTGCCCAATATCTCAATTCCTTTTCAGAGAAAAAAGTCTTTAAAGACTTGCTTACATGTGCTGCCTGCCTTATCATTCCACATTCATTCTTCACCTCACTCTACTCTTGCTTCAGCCTCCGCCACTCCACCAACTTCTCTTATCTTAAACCTTAAACAATCTTTGTGTTGTTCCATCTGATTGAACATGCTTTGCCTCTTAAACCAGCCCTCTCAGCAGTGCTTGGCACAATAGCCACCTCTCTATCTTGATACCCTAGCTTTCGTGGCCATCGTATCAGCACATCTTCTTGATTTTCCTGAAGCCTTTCCTGGCCTCCTCCTACCCTCCTTCAGCAACAGCTGCTGGCCCTTCCTCCTCTAACTCGATCCTCAAAGTTGGAATTCCTTGGGGACCAATCTTGCCCCCAACCCCACCTCTTCTTTCCTCTTTGCATACAAGTCTCCACAGGTCTTCTCATCCATAAAATATAATTTATATGCCTCAAAATGCCAAAATGTATATCTGAGCATCAAAATCATATATCCAAAAACCTACTTGAGATGCAAGCATCTCAAACTTCACTTTTCTAAAATCAAACTCCCCACCTCCATCCTCAAAGTTTGTCTTCCTTTTCAGAAAATAGTATTATTATCTACCCAGCTGCCCAGGACAAAAAAAATTAGTGCTCAATCTTGAAGTACCCTTCATCTAATCATTTGACAAGTTCCATTCATTCTGTTATCTATAACTATACACGTATATACAAACACACATAGTCAGTTTTTTCTCCAACTGCCCTGCCAAAATGTTAGCCATGACATCATCCCATTCATTGACAAATACAACAGTCTCCAAGCTAGTTTCCCCATGCACTTTTTCTTCCTCCAACCCACATTGCCAAGTAAAATTCTTAAGACATGTATCAGGTCTTGATCCTCTCTTTTTTAAAAGCCTTGATGTCTTTCAACTCAGTTCAAAGCAAAAACTCATAAAAATGCCCACAAAACTTTGCATGATGTGACCCCTGCTAGGTTTCCAACCCTGCTTCCAGTTCACGACGTAGCAATCACACTGGTCTCCTTCCAGTTACTCAAAGGCATCAAGATCTTTTCTGCCTAAACTTTTTTTTCCTGGTAGGTGCCTGTATATGGACGTATCTTCCCTTCTCTCTTACCTTATTCACCTCCACTTACCCTTCAGATCTCAGTTTAAATACTATATCTCAGATTCCTTCTCTGATCACCTACCAAACCTCAATTAGAATCCCCAGTATTCTTCCCTTATTGAAATATATTTATTTGTTTGTTTGTTTGTTCTCTCTTCACTCTTTAGTGTCACCCAACTAAACTATAATCTCCATAATGGAAAGAGTTTGACGTTTTTTTTTCAATACTGTATACGCAGCACTTAGCACAGTGCACACAATACACCTAAGAATTACATATAACTTAATAAATAAACAATATTTTGATTATTGAAAACCACTCATTCCACTGAAGTAGGCAGCTCTCTCAACCCTAATCTGGGTTCCATAAGTAGGAGGCTGGAGGGAGACTAACAAGCTCCTGCTTTCAGTCACCAAAAGACCCTGCCATCCACACCTAAAATTCTCCTCATAAAATCAGTTTCCTGTCACACAGTCCTTACTGTCTTAGAGACAAAAAAATGGTAAAAAGAAAATGAGAGAAGAAGAAGGAGGGAGGGAAAGGAAAGAGACTTATTTTTTGGAGATGAAGCACATTCAATATGTAAGAAGTATTCTTACCATTTTCCTTTAAGATTTAGTCTATAAAACATGCTCCATAGAAAAGTCTATCATCTCTGTAATGAACACTTGCGCATGAAATCTCCGTTACTGTTAGTGTTTGGAAAGGCCAAATATACAGCTCCAATCCTGAGAAGGATGCATCCTACAAACTCTAATATCCTATTTATCTCTTTATATATTTCACACTAGAAATGAAATCCCTCTTACTGATATATGAGGAGATAAAAATGTGAGTTAGCTCTATTAGTTCTGAAGCAGATTATTCCACAGCCTGTACTTTGAAACAATAACTCATTCAATACTCCCCCAGTGGCAAGAAAGAATTAATACAATCTGCAGATGTGCCTAAACATATTCCCAAGGGAATTACTTAGGCACTTGGAGAATCTGGTATTAAGTTCTGAATCTCCTGTTATTATTACAGTAAAATTTTCTGCAATGTCTTCATTGAAAGATATTAATTTTAATCTAAAAATATCAATTGAAGTTTATGAGCTGCAATTTTATTTTTCTCAAAGGAATTATTCAAGGATCCATATGTCCAATAGCTGTTTTATTTTTCCTGCAAAAAAAAACTACAAAAAAGTAGCTCTCTTATGTATAGCTATCACAACATGGCTAACAATTATTTAGGTATTGTTCAAAATATCAGGAATGCTGGAAAAAAAACAGCAAATAGGGAGCATGGCATTCACTGTATAATTTAAAGCCAAGTATTAATGCAAAATAAGAGCTGTGTATGGTATATTTTATTCAACTCTTGATTTCATCCTAGAAGGAAGAAAGACAACGAACAAATTAGAATTATTAGTAATCCCCAAATTCCCTTTCTTCATTCAGCAAACATTTTTAGACTTCACTAAACACAAGGCACTCAGAGTGACAGAGGATGCACAGAAGATTTACAGGTTCTTTCATTCATTATGTAGTATACATACAATCATTCTAAGAGTATCTCTGTTACAGGTGTCTTATTACATAGGGGTTTCTGGAATAACTGACTAAGTTGCCTCATAAGTGGTCAATATTTGATAACTTGGACAACAAATCAGGGTATTATTTGTAACTAGGCACACAACTGTATAAAGGACTGGTGTAGAATGTAAATTTGAAAGAAGATATCAATGGTACAATTTTATCCAATGGTGTAAAGCTCCTTCTTCAAAGGGTATAAAACTGAAGTTGTGCTAAGGAGTAGTGATGTGGCCAGACTGGTTACAAGGAGATGGATTATATGGTTAGGGCTTGAATAATCACAAATTCACTTAAGTGAGGTCACTATTTATTACCTCTTATCTCAACACAGCTTTTCATACTAAATAGTTTTATTCTTCAACAAGTCAGGCCTTATAGTACTTCTGGACATTATCACTCTACGACTGTTGAAAGAGAGAGTAAACGAGGTCAAGAGGTTTGCCCCAGACCTCTGCATGAATCCCCAGACCTTAGCAAGAGCTGCACACTCAACAGGGCAGTTGCTATTTTGCGCAGTGCTAACATGATAAACTCACATGCTTTCAAAATCAAGTAATAAGAATAGCAGGCCATGCACTCTACCAAACACTTCATATGTATTGGGACATTTATTAGGGTGTTCATATATCGATAGATTTTAGACCACAGAAATTACAAAGAAAATTTTATTTTTTCCAAGAAACATGATTTGTCACATATACAAGGATTTCCAATCCTTTACAATGCAGTAGTCAGATATGAGCATTTTCATACTAACTAGAAACTGAACCTTTATATTCCTCTGTTCTTAAAGTTCATCTGAGACAAGGAAATAATAGCACCTACCAGTTGGGGTTGCTGATAAAAGAACATGAGCATCTAGAACAATGCCTGACATACATGAGGTGCTCCGTAAGTGGTTAGGATCCAGCCCTCAAATGGTTCCCAGATGCTAATGTTATACAGAGATTATATTGACACTTTAAGAGATAATAATAACTTATATTTGTAGTATATGAATTGCCTTCTGCAGTTGTGCTAAGTGCTTTACACAGATTTTTCTAACAATCCCCGCACCAACTCTATGAAGAAGATGCAGCTGTTATCCTCCTTTTACATATGAAGAAATGGAGGCTTAGTGGTAATAATTAATCTGTCCAACTACTTAACAAATGGGCTTCGACATGTCCTGTCAGTCTGAATCCTGTTTTCACTTTAAACGCCAACTATACTGCTTCCCTTAAGCACAAATCATTTTTAGTGGGGTCTAAATTTTAATTCTACGGCAAATTTCAGATACTTAAAATGGTTGTTCTATTACCTTAAGAGGAAAACTGCAACTGTCCTCTCCAAAAGCCCTGAATACTTTGAATAAAAATCACTTTCAATAATTAGAAAAGAGGATTTCCTCCGTGAAATGCCACAACAAATAGTACTTTGCCTGAAAACATTTCAATAATTGTTGAGATGGGTTCTCAACTTCTACATGAAAACAGTCCATTTCAATCATATAATTTGTTTGAACTTGTAACAAATATGAAAGTATCCACCTGGTGCCTACTATGTGTATGACTCAGGGCGAGGCATTTATTTGGTGAGAGAAAAGCAAAGATTAGACACCACAGCTACCCTGGTTCAACCCCCCTACCTATTTGCTGGGCTTGAGGCTCTGTAAGATGCCAAGAAACCTGGGCTTTCCAGAATAGATGAAAGCAAAAGTAAGAAGAGGAAGAGAAATACAAGGTGTCTGTGGTAAGGGGGATGTTTGCTTTACTTTACATTTGTAGTTGCTCCCATAAGAAGTATTTGCTAATCCAAAGCAGGCTAAGAGGTTTCAAATCATATATAGAGAGGGGAAATATTTTCCTTCTGTTTCTCTTTTTTTTTTTTTTTGAGACAGGGTCTCCCTCTGTCACCCAGGCCATACAGCAGTGCTGCAATTATGGCACAATGCATGCAGCCTCAACCTCCCAGCCTCAAGAGATCCTCCTGCCTCAGCCTCCTGAGTAGCTTGGACCACAGGTATGTGCTGCCATGCCCAGCTAATTTTTAATTTTTAATTTTTTTGTAGGGATGGGGTCTAGCTATGTTGCACAGGCTGGTCTCAAATTTCTTGGCTTAAGTGATATTACCACCTCGGTCTCCCAAAGTGTGAGTCACTACATCTAGCCTCTTCTGTTTTTCTTATTTGTATTCGCTAAATACAAAAAGGAAGAAAAATGCACAATGTTATACAGAACTGGGCAAGCCACAAAAAATACAAACTCTGTTCAGGGAGATCCTTGCCTTATCTTTGAGACGGTAGGTGAAACTTCTTATATACATTGAGCAGGTTTTAAAAATCACTTTCTTAGTTAAAGCAGCAGGAAGACACTAACAATGAAATAAAAGAATAATATCTAACATTCACTGACTGCTTTCTCAGAGCCAGTTCTCATGATAACACTAGGAGGCGAATGTGTTAGTATGTTTATTTCACAGAAGAGACTGAGAAGGAGCTCAATTAATTTGAGCAATCACTACCCAGCTAATCATCAGCAGAGCCAAAATTTGAATCCAGGCAGTCTTGACAGTAGGAAGGACCAGCATTGTGTTTTAGTTATGCAGTGCTCTAAAAATTTGTCCTTCACAATAAAAGTTTCAAAGTTTAGATATCTATCCTAAATAATTTCTAGTTTTTCCCAATAAATTACTAAATTACTGTTATGATGAAATATGAACATTTTCCTGTTGGGTGAGGTGGTTCACACTTGTAATCCCAGCATTTTGGGAGGACAAGGCAGGCGGATCGTTTGAGCCCAGTAGTACTAGACCAGCCTGGGCAACATGGTGAAATGCTGTCTCTACAAAAAATTAGCCAGGTGTGGTGGCACATGCCTGTAGTCCTAGCTACTCTGGAGGCTAAGGTGGGAGAATCACTTTATCCTAGGAGGCAGAGGTGGCAGTGAGCCCAGATTGCACCACTACACTGCAGCCTGGGCGACAGAGTGAAAACTGTTTCAAAAACAATAATAATAATAATAATAATAATAATAATAATAATAATAAATCAAACCAAAAAATGGAATATATCTCATCTTCCTGCCTTGAAAATAACTTAAATTGCTTCATTTACTATTCTGAAATTTTGGTTAAATCAAATTAAATCTTTATAATTATTAAAAAATGAAACTATTTGCAATTCTAGTATTTAATATTTATCCAATTGCTAACGTAGATATCACCCTTCATGCATGTTACGTCTAAGCTCGTACATGCATTTTTAAGAATAACACGGATTGCTTTAATCTGCAAAATGCTAATGGGTATATTTTGAATACCACACTAGTTCATTAATACCTCTCAATCCACAAATTGGAACATAAAGAGAAGCCAGAAAATACATGTTCACAACTAATGAAGAGCAATTTTTTTTAATGCAAAAGTCGACTACATGCATGATGCCTAACAAGAAGGAATGGAAGGGTTAATCTTTTCCCTTAAGCATTTCCACCACTTGAATCCTCAGGAGCACTGTCCCTTTGCCAGAGGCAGCCCACACACCTCTGGTCATTGAACCTTTGCCAGAGGCAGCCTACACACCTCTGGTCATTGAAATGTGGATGCCCTGAAGAAGAATCAAATAGACGCAATAAAAAATGATAAAGGGGATATCACCACCAATCCCACAGAAATACAAACTACCATCAGAGAACACTATAAACACGTCTACGCAAATAAACTAGAAAATCTAGAAGAAATGGATAAATTACTCGATACATACACCCTCCCAAGACTAAACCAGGAAGAAGTTGAATCTCTGAATAGAACAATAACAGGCTCTGAAATTGAGGCAATAATTAATAGCTTACCAACCAAAAAAAGTCCAGGACCAGATGGATTCACAGCTGAATTCTACCAGAGGTACAAGGAGCAGCTGGTACCATTCCAATCAAAAGAAAAAGAGGGAATCCTCCCTAACTCATTATATGAGGCCAGCATCATCCTGATACCAAAGCCTGGCAGAGACACAACAAAAAAAAGAGAATTTTAGACCAATATCCCTGATGAACATCGATGCAAAAATCCTCAATAAAATACTGGCAAACCGAATCCAGCAGCACAACAAAAAGCTTATCCACCATGATCAAGTGGGCTTCATCCCTGGGATGCAAGACTGGTTCAACATAACGCAAATCAATAAACATTACCCAGCATATAAACACAACCAACGACAAAAACCACATGATTATCTCAATACATGCAGAAAAGGCCTTTGACAAAATTTTACAACCCTTCATGCTAAAAACTCTCAATAAATTAGGTATCGATGGGATGTATCTCAAAATAATAAGAGCTATTTATGACAAACCCACAGCCAATATCATACTGAATGGGCAAAAACTGGAAGCATTCCCTTTGAAAACTGGCACAAGACAGGGATGCCCTCTCGCACCACTCCTATTCAACATAGTGTTGGAAGTTCTGGCCAGGGCAATCCGGCAGGAGAAGGAAATAAAGGGTATTCAATTAGGAAAAGAGGAAGTCAAATTGTCCCTGTTTGCAGATGACATGATTGTATATCTAGAAAACCCCATTGTCTCAGCCCAAAATCTCCTCAAGCTGATAGGCAACCTCAGGAAAGTCTCAGGATGCAAAATCAATGTGCAAAAATCACAAGCATTTTTACACACCAATAATAGACACACAGAGAGCCAAATCATGAGTGAACTTCCATTGACAATTGCTTCAAAGAGAATAAAATACCTAGGAATCCAACTTACAAGGGACATGAAGGACCTCTTCAAGGGGAACTACAAACCACTGCTCAATGAAATAAAAGAGGATATGAACAAATGGAAGAATCAATATCGTGAAAATGGTCATACTGCCCAAGGTAATTTACAGATTCAATGCCATCCCCATCAAGCTACCAATGACTTTCTTCACAGAATTGGAAAAAACTACTTTAAAGTTCATATGGAACCAAAAAAGAGCCCTCATCGCCAAGTCAATCCTAAGCCAAAAGAACAAAGCTGGAGGCAGCATGCTACCTGACTTCAAACTATACTACAAGGCTACAGTAACCAAAACAGCATGGTACTGGTACCAACAAAGAGATATAGACCAATGGAACAGAACAGAGCCCCCAGAAATAATGCCGCATATCTACAACTATCTGATCTTTGACAAACCTGACAAAAACAAGAAATGGGGAAAGGATTTCCTATTTAATAAATGGTCCTGGGAAAACTGGCTAGCCATATGTAGAAAGCTGAAACTGGATCCCTTCCTTACACCTTATACAAAAATTAATTCAAGATGGATTAAAGACTTACATGTTAGACCTAAAACCATAAAAACCCTAGAAGAAAACCTAGGCAATACCATTCAGGACATAGGCATGGGCAAGGACTTCATGTCTAAAACACCAAAAGCAATGGCAACAAAAGCCAAAATTGACAAATGGGATCTAATTAAACTAAAAAGCTTCTGCACGGCAAAAGAAACTACCATAAGAGAGAACAGGCAACCTACAGAATGGGAAAACATTTTTGCAATCTACTCATCTGACAAAGGGCTAATATCCAGAATCTACAATGAACTCAAACAAATTTACAAGAAAAAAACAAAGAACCCCATCAAAAAGTGGGCAAAGGATATGAACAGACACTTCTCAAAAGAAGACATTTATGCAGCCAAAAAACACATGAAAATATGCTCATCATCACTGGTCATCAGAGAAATGCAAATCAAAACCACAATGAGATACCATCTCACACCAGTTAGAATGGCGATCATTAAAAAGTCAGGAAACAACAGGTGCTGGAGAGGATGTGGAGAAATAGGAACACTTTTACACTGTTGGTGGGACTGTAAACTAGTTCAACCATTGTGGAAGTCAGTTTGGCCATTCCTCAAGGATCTAGAACTAGAAATACCATTTGACCCAGCCATTCCATTACTGGATATATACTCAAAGGATTATAAATCATGCTGCTATAAAGACACATGCACACGTATGTTTATTGCAGCACTATTCACAACAGCAAAGACTTGGAACCAACCCAAATGTCCATCAGTGATAGACTGGATTAAGAAAATGTGGCACATATACGCCGTGGAATACTATGCAGCCATAAAAAAGGATGATTTCATGTCCTTTGTAGGGACATGGATGAAGCTGGAAACCATCATTCTCAGCAAACTACTGCAAGGACAAAAAACCAAACACCGCGTGTTCTCAGTCATAGGTGAGAAATGAACAATGAGAACACATGGACACAGGAAGGGGAACATCACACACTAGGGCCTGTTGTGGGCTGGGGGGAGAGGGGAGGGATAGCATTAGGAGATATACCTAATGTTAAATGACGAGTTAATGGGGGCAGCACACCAACAAGGCACATGTATACATATGTAACAAACCTGCACGTTGTGCACATGTACCCTACACTACAAAGCTTCAAATCCCTATTCCCCCATATATTGGTCACATGGCCACAAACAAGTCACTTACCATTTCTGTGACTTAGTTTTCCCCATTTGTAAAGTGGCAATATTCATAATTTCCACCTCATAGAGTAGTTTTATGATGATTAAATGAATTAATACGTGAAGTACTGAGGTGAGTTCTGGCTTACTACAAGGGCTATCTAAATGTTACCTTTTTATTTTTATAAGTATAACCAAAATCTCTTGTATGTTTTTTCCTCAGTCTCCTCTGTATGTCCATTATAACCCTATTTGTGTGTATCCACTTATACCTAAATCTTTCACCTGAACATATTTCTTTCCCCTTCTCAATGAGCAAAATATTCAAATAAAAACAGACAATTATGTGTGTGTGTGTGTATATATATATATATATATATATATATATATATGAATATATGCTTATATCTAAATATATATGGAAGGATCTACCCAATATTGTGAAAATATTACATGCACACATATACAGTCATAAACTGCATAACAACCATTTGGTCAAGGATGGATGTCATACAGGATTGTGGCCCCATCAAATTATATTGGAGCTGAAAATATCCTATTGCCTAAAGATACTGCAGCCATCCTAACATCATAGTGCAATGCATTACTTACATGTTTGTGGTGAAGCTGGTGTAAGCAAACTTACTCTACTGCCAGTCATAAAAAAAGTATAGCACATACAATGGGGTGCATTACATAGTACTTGATAATAATTATAAATGACTATGTAACTGGTTTACTTATTTACTATATTATCATTATTTTAGAGTGTATTCCTTCTACTTATATTTTTTTTAAAGTTAACTGTAAAACAGCCTTAGGCAGGTCCTTCAAGGGGTATTCCAGAAGAAGATACGGAGATGACAGCTCTATGAGTGTTAGGGCCCCAAAGACCTTCCAGTGCAACAAGATGCAGAGGTGGAAGACACTGAATATTGATGATCCTGACCCTGTGCAGGCCTAAGCTAATATGTTCAATTGTGTCTTAGTTTTTAACAAAAAATAAATAAAAATGAAAGAAAAATTTAAAAATAGAAATAAAGCATATAGAATGCGGATCTAAAAAAGGAAATATTTTTGTACATCTGTATAATGTGTTTGTGTTTTAAGCTATTTTGAGTTATTGCAAAAGGGTCAAAAAGTTTAAAAGATGACAAAAAGTTAGCATCAGCTAATTTTGATTTGTTATCGAAGTAAAAATATTTTTATAAATTTAGTATAGGCTAAGTGTACAGTGTTTATAAAGTCTATATAGTGTACAGTAATGTTCTAGACCTTCACTTTCACTTACCACTCACTTACTGACACCCAGGGCAACTTCCAGTCCTGCAAACTCTGCTCATGCTAAGTGTCTAATACAGGGGTAACCACTGTATATCTTTTACAATATATTTTTATTATACCTCTCCTATGTTTAGATACACAAATACATAACATTGTGTTACGACTGCCCACAGTATTTAGTAGAATAACATGCTGTACAGGTTTGTAGCCTAGGACCAAAGCTACAAACCATCTATAGCTTAGGCATGTAGTAGGCTGCACCATCTAAGTTTGTGTGAGTAAATTCTATTATGTTCACACAATGACGAAACCACCTAATATTCTCACCAAGAAAATGCCTATATTTCTGACAATGTATCCCCATTGTTGAGTGATTCATGATTGTACACAGAAACTTCTCTGAAGAAGATTCTAAGTCTCTGAATACTACCTATCACCAGAAACAGGTGGTAATATTCACAACTACCTTGTGAAACAGCTGTTTGTTACCTCAAACACTGATACCATATGCAAATTTACATATATCTATGGGAACGCTACATAGGAGAACTCTTATTTTTCACCAATAAGGACTTTGTTCTTGTTGCTCACCATGTATACCAGCATCATAAAAGATGAAATGAAATGCAAATAGGTAACATTTATGTGAAACGTATGTGCCACTGTGTTAAGCATTTTACAGACATTACTCATATAAGTAACCCCATTAATGGGGGATCCGTGATTATCATTTCACAGAATGAGGAGACAGATGAAGATCACCCAGACAGTAACTTGCCCAGGATCACACAGAGGTAACAGCTGGTATGGTTTTGACCTCAGGTCTCTGATTGGAATCTTCTGCTCCATTTGTAGCTGAGCAAGAAGGAGGGAAGAGCTAAAATTATGCCCCAAAATTCCAGTCTTTATTATAGTACACACAGTTCATTGTATCATGTTTTGTTAACAACTAGTGTTCTCAAATTACATGAACTAACCAAGTCGCAGGCACAAATAAAATGCCTGCTAGATAAAGTCACCTCACTTAGATGAAGGCATTAAAGTTGAGAGCAAACTATGGAGAAAAAAAAATAAACCATGTTTACATGGGTAAGAAAAAGCATTTGGTCAGTTATTTATCTAACTCACATAAGACTAAAAGAAAAAAGGATATTTGTATCTCCAATTATTTAAACCACCTGGTTGTATATGCTTTCATATTTTCCAAACGCTTATTCAGCTTTACGTGACATTTTTCTCGGTGTGGAGTTAGTAATATTCTGTATAGAGGTGATGGCTCATATAATTCAGCTGTGAAAGCCATAATTTCCAAAATGACAGTAGGAAAATAATGTCTCATGGAGATAAAGGAAACTGACAATAAAAATGGAAGAAGTACAAAAACTGCCATGTAAAATAATTCCTGGAAATTTTTGAAAGTTTTGCTGGAAAACTTTTTTTGAAAGTTTTGCTGGAAAAGACTACATACTTCTCCAAAAGAAAAGTAAACTTCTAAGTGTTATATATAAGTAGATATTAGTATTATCATGAATTATGAAGAAAAAACACTTGCATTTGAGACAGGTCTACAAAGAAATCCAGAATGGCATGTGTAGTTGTCCAAATAAGCATAGTGTTTACAAAAGAGTTACTTTAGAAGTATTGTTAAATCTTCATTTAAAAAAATTAAACCAGCACCACAGGGAGTTTAGGTAATACATATATTAGAAACTTATATTTCTGAACTGAGGAGCAGAGTAAATCATTGGTAGATGACTTAAAAGAATTCTAACCATAATTAATAAACTATGTAATCTCAAACCTCCACGCACGATAGTTGTAAACAAGATGAGGTAATTCCAATTTTCAGCACTCTGGCAGTATTTGTTTGCAAAATTCCTCATGAACCCACTAATTGATAGCATATGTTCACATTTTTTTAGCTCTGAGGAATGATAACAACCACAAAGAAGTATAGCCAAACTAATACCATAAGACATAGTTAATTTTTTCAGAGACAAGATTACTACCTGTGCATCAGCATAACTTCCAGTGATAGCAAAAACTTCTGTTTGTGTTTCTAAAAATAGGCATCATTGATATTAACACTGATCCTATGCCAAAACCATCTTGGGTGAGATGCTGGAACTGACGCACAAAGACAAAAAGTCCACATTCATTCAATTATTCAGAAAACACAGATTGCCCATTCTGTGCAAGGAACTTTGTTGTATACAGGAAGCTAAACAAAGACTATTAATTCCAGGCCTTTAGAAAACTTGAAGACTAGCAGTAGAGATGAAGCAAGTCCTCCTCATTAGAAATTACGGTGGCCAGAATTCCATATGATCCTCAGTGACCCACGCCTTTGTATGATGCCTTTTTTTTTTTTTTCAAGTCAGAATCTCACTCTGTTGCCCAGGTTGGAGTGCCGTGGCATGATCTCGGCTCATTGCAACCTCTGCTTCCCGAGTTCAAGCAATTTGCCCACCTTAGCCTCGCAAGTAGCTGGGACTACAGGTGTGTGCCACCACGCCTGGCTAATTTTTGTGTTTTTAGTAGAGATGGGGGTTTCACCATGTTGCCCAGGCTGGTCTTAAACTCCTGACCTCAAGTGATCCTTCTGCCTCAGGCTCCCAAAGTGCTGGGATTAGAGGCGTGAGCTACCACGCCCGGCCAATGCCCTCTTCTGAATGTAGGCAGGACTCTGAAGATGAGACCACTTCCATGATTAGAATATAAAATGTGACAAAGGTTAAAAAACATTGTGATGTAATTAAAGTCCCTAATCAATTGAGTTTGAGTTCATCAGAAGGGAGATTATCCCCAAAGAGACCGAATCACATGTGCCCTTTAAAAGAGGGTCGATCTATAGGTAATAAACAAGAAGCATCAAGGATACTCTCTTGTTAGTCTTAAAGAAGCAAACTGCCATGTTAGAGAGGAGGTTATACGGCACGCGATGCTGGATGACCTCTGAGAGCTGAGGACCTCATCCTGTAACCACAAAGAACTGAATCCAACAAACAGTGCGCTTAGAAGAGGACTTCAAGCCACAGATGGTGGCAGCTCCTGCTGACACCTTCATCAGAATTTGAGTAGAAGACCCCCTAAACTGTGCCTGGATTTCTGAGTCACCAAATCTGTGAGATAATAAATGTGTTGTTTTAAGCTGGTAAATTTGTGATATTAATATTTATTAAAAACAGTAAATGAATACAAAAGTCAATGTAAACTAAAATTCCATAGTAGAGATGAAGTCCTGTGAATTTTAGGGAGAATATGACACTGTTTTTCACCAATAACAAAATTCACTACTAGTGGAGTAAAGAACTCTGGAGTAAGACTTAGAGCTGTGTGACTTTTGGCAAGTAATTCAACCTCTTTTTGCCTCAGTTTCTTCACATACAAAATGGGAATGATTTTATTATTTGTGAGGGTTCAGTGACAGAATACATTTCTAATGCTCAGTTCAGTTGCTGTCACATAGTAAGCTCCATATAATATTATTATTAATGTCATTGCTATTGCTAACATAATTACTACCATCATTAATTTAACTAAGAGAAACATGTCCGTATCATCAGCTACATACATAATGCTTTGCCTAGGCTGAAAAATAAATAAATAAATAAGATAGAAATATTAAATGGACTTACAGAGATTGCAGATGATTGCAAGTTTGCAATCAACAAGGCTTTTAAATCATTCACTCATTTTAAAAGACCCCTTCAAATAGTTTTCATTACAATGTCCAGGGCAGGTAATTCAAAGAAAGAGGTCTTGGTGCTTAAGATAAGACACCAAAAGCAATGGCAACAAAAGCCAAAATTGACAAATGGGATCTAATTAAACTAAAGAGCTTCTGCACTAAAGAAACTACCATCAGAGTGAATACGCAACCTACAGAATGGGAAAACATTTTTGCAATCTACTCATCTGACAAAAGGCTAATATCCAGTATCTACAAAGAACTCAAACAAATTTATAAGAAAAAAAAAACTCCATCAAAAAGTGGGCAAAGGATATGAACAGACCCTTCTCAAAAGAAGACATTTATGCAGCCAAAAGACACATGAAAAAATGCTCATCATCACTGGCTATCAGAGAAATGCAAATCAAAACCACAATGAGATACCATCTCACGCCAGTTAGAATGGCAATCATTAAAAAGTCAGGAAACAACAGGTGCTGGAGAGGATGTGGAGAAATAGGAACACTTTTACACTGTTGGTGAGACTGTAAACTAGTTCAACCACTGTAGAAGACAGTGTGGCGATTCCTCAAGGATCTAGAACTAGAAATACCATTTGACCCAGCCATTCCATTACTGGGTATATACCCAAAGGATTATAAATCATGCTGCTATAAAGGCACATGCACACGTGTGTTTATTGTGGCACTATTCACAACAGCAAAGACTTGGAACCAACCCAAATGTCCATCGACGATAGACTGGATTAAGAAAATGTGGCACATATACACCATGGAATACTATGCAGCTATAAGAAAGGATGAGTTCATGTCCTTTGTAGGGACATGGATGAAGCTGGAAACCATCATTCTCAGCAAACTATTGCAAGAACAAAAAAGCAAACACCGCATGTTCTCACTCATAGGTGGGAATTGAACAATGAGAACACGTGGACACAGGAAGGGGGACATCACACATCGGGGCCTGTTGTGGGGTGGAGGGAGGGGGGAGGGATAGCATTAGGAGACATACCTAATGTAAATGATGAATTAATGGGTGCAGCACACCAACATGGCACATGTATACATATGTAACAAACCTGCACGATATGCACATGCACCCTAGAACTTAAAGTATAATTAAAAAAAAAAGAATGCATAACTAACATCATGTAGTACAAAGAACACAAGTGAAAGTTTAGAAAAATCAGGCTTGAGCCCTGTGTCAGACACCCACTTGCTGTGTTATTCGAGATGTTTCTTTACTTTTCTAAGCCTCAGTCTCTTCATCCATAAGTTAGGCACAATAATAGATACTTCATCGGGTTACTGAAGTGATCAAATGAGATGATGTGACCCTTGGACCATACTTTCCCATCAATAAATGCTATTGATGTATGCTAAAAAAAAGTCTTTTTGGATCAAAATTTAGCAACATCTATTAAATTTTAATATTGTACGTAGGCTTTATCTCATCATTTTACTTCTAGGTGTATCTGTTAAAGATACTGCAACATTTGCACAAAGAATATACAAGAATATTTGTTGCAATTTGTAATAATGAAAGACTGGAATCCCCTAATGTCCATACACATGACAATGTCAAAATAAATTAGAATAGTCCATGCTGTGAACTATTAGCTAATAATTAAAATTAATGAGTTATGGTTATATAGAAAGCCACGGAGAACTATCTAAGATACATCATTAAGTTAAAAAAAAAAGAATGTTGCAAAGTAGTCCATTTGGTGTGGCCTTATTTTCAATATAGCAGAGTGCAGAGGTTAATAGAGTGTGCTCTGGATCCAGACTGCCTGGTATTCTGTGCTCAGTGCACCTCTCATCACCTTGAGCAGGTCATTTATTTTTCCTGGCCTTAACTTTCTCATTGGTAAGAGTGGCATAATAACAGCTCCTATCACATTATCAAATGAGCTAACCATATTGAATGCTTAGAAAAAAAATCTCAGGAATATTATAAGTGTTAGCTATCAATTTAATTAAAAATAAAGCATTATGAACCAAGATAAGATGATTCACTTACATATAAAATACATGTTTTCATAAACACAAAGAAGAAAGTATGGAGATTTTCCTAAACTGAGATTTGGTAACCTCTGAGCAAGAAAGTAGGATTAGAAAGCTGGGGAAGTTGATTCTCACTTTGAATTGTTAGAAGTGCTGCCAATGAGGCTCTTTCTATACATTATTTGTACAAATAAAAATGCAATTGATGGTTTAAAAATTTTTAAAAATTAAATTAAAGAATTGAGATTTAAAAAAAAAATTACTTGAACTGTATCCAACCCAATTTGAATTCGAAAGACTGTGAGTAGTAGTTATCTCAGACCTCCGAAAAAATGCCAGTAATATGAGGCATTTCTGTTTCTTAATACTATTTTATATGTTTTTACTAAAATATATGAAATAAAACTGCTTTCTCCTCAAAAAAAAAAACAACAAAAAAAAGAAACTTACACAGGTCATACTACATACTACATACTACATACATAGAGACAAGAAACTTAGGAATGCTTAAAAATTAAAAAGACCACACAGTAGTTTGGTTGTGGTTTGTACGGGCATAGGAAACTGTGAAAGAAATCCTCCACGCTGTGTCTTTTCTCCAATCCCCTTATCTGCTACTTTTTAAAATTCACTGCAATGATGTTACTGAGCTCTGACCGTGGCTTGGTGATGGCAGCACCTAGGAGGTTAAGTGTTGGGTCTATTTGCATTTTTGTCCCTCCTTCTCAAGGAGATTATAAGAGTTCTAGGAAAGAGTTCAAAAATAACTGAAATCTCAGGATAAAATATTTTGAAGGCAACTGGAATAGAAGGAATAAAAACTAAAAAAATCCTCTTTAATCATTACATATGTTACCAAAAATGTTTTTTTGTCCTAGTGCAAACAGTTTCAATTCTAGAAATATATTGCTTTTGTTTATTGAGTAAAATTCTACAGGAAGAAAATGTTCTGACAGTGGTTATTATGTAAAAGTAAAAGAATTTTAGGTATTTATTAATATAACAATAACACTGATTATAACTACACAAACAGCAATGAGTCCTAACAGACTCATAGTTTATTACCTACGCTTATCCAATTCTTAAAATTTCCATTCAGAAGAAACTAAAATCTACACCTGAATAGCATTAGGAACAAATCTATCTTATATGATCTGTGTATTAATTATTAATTCTTTTTTTTTTTTTTTTTTTTAGATTTCACTCTGGTCACCCAGGCTAGGGTGTTGTGGGTGTGATCACGGCTCACTGCAACCTCCACCTCCCCGAGGCTCAAGTGATCCTCCCAACTCAGCCTCCAGAGAAGCTGGGATTACAGCTGCATGCCACCATGCCTAGGTAAATTTTTTCTGTAGGGACAGGGTCCTGCCATGTTGCTCAGACTGGTCTTGAACTCCTAGGCTCAAGCAATCCTTCTGCCTTGGCTTCCCAAAGTGCTGAGATTACAGGTGTGAGCCACCATGCCTGGCCCTGTATTGATTATTTTTCTATGAACAAGTAAACCCCATTCTATACCATTTTAGGTTCTGGACAACTTAGGCAATATTTCATTAACAGAAACTCAAACTAGGAAAAAATAAAGTAATGCTGAAGATGACAAGGAAGAGGCAAATTTTAGGCACATGTTTCTTCCATACTTTAGATAAATTATCCATTTTAGGAGTCTAAGTAGAGTAAATAAATGACTTCTTGAAATGTAGAATTCATAATTAAGTGGGAATTATAAAATTAAGCACGGTTATAAGTCACGGTAAAACAGGTCAGATATTTAAACATCTACTATTACTGCATCTATGCCTGCTTCAAAAAGTAGCTTGTAACCTGTATTGCTTGCTAGAGAAATATACATCTGCAAATTTCAGGTCTTCAGAAAGAGGATTTTACTGGCAGTATCCTGCTTATTATACTTCAGTCTCAAATAAGAACGTAAAACCAATGTGTTTTCTTTCCAGACAATTTTGTCACTTGCATGATGGCTGTCATTTACTAAAATTATAAATGCAAAGATACTTATTATATTTCCTAATTCAATTAATTAAAGAAAATGTATGCAGAAATAGTAAGATTAAATCAACAATGTGTTTTTAAAACTTAAGAATAGGGCCTGTATTTTTTTTACTTTTTAATAATAGCCATTCTGATTGGTGTGGGATGGTATTTCATTGTGGTTTTGACTTGCATTTCTCTAATGATCAGTAATGTTGAGCTTTTTTTTTCATGCTTGTTGGTTGCATGTATGCCTTCTTTTAAAAAGTGTCTATTCATGTCCTTTGCCCACTTTTGAATGGGGTTGTTAGTTTTCTTGTGAGTTTAAAAGAAATGCTTATTCACTGTTGGTGGGAGTGTAAATTAGTTCAACCATTGTGGAAGTGTGGCAGCTCCTCAAAGACATCAAGACAGAAATACCATTTGACCAAGCAATCCCATTACTAGGTATATACCCAAAGGAATATAGATTCTTCTGTTATAAAGACACATGCATGCAAATGTTCACTGTAGCACTATTCACAATGGTAAAGACATGGAATCAACCTAAATGCCCATCGATGATAGACTGCATAAAGAAAATATGGTACATATATGACATGGAATACTATCCAGCCATAAAAAAGAATGAGATCATGTCCTTTGCAGGCACCTGAATGGAACTGGAGACCATTATCCTTAGCAAACTAACACAGGAACAGGAAAACAAATAACACATGGTCTTATTTATAAGTAGGAGCTAAATGATGAGAATACATGGACACACATGCAGAAAAACACACACTGGGGCTTTTCTGAGGGTAGAGGGTGGAAGGGTGGGAGAAGGGAGAAGATCAGGGAAAATAACCAATGGGTACTAGGTTTAATACCTGGGTAAAAAATAATCTGTACAGCAAACCTCCATGATACATGTTTACCTATGTAATAAACCTGCACATGTACTCCTGAACTTAAAAGTTAAAAAAAAGAATAAGACCTACAATACCAAAAGAGGATATTATTAAGTCAGAACATTGGGCTGGCATTGATATTTTTTAGAAGAGGCCATTCGAAAAATGTACTTCATGGAGAAAATTGCCTATACCAAAGATTACATAACTTCCTCAGAAATCTAGAAGGTACTATCAATTCATTTTTAATAATTAAGAAAACACATGATTGAACACCTCTTTTTAGCTAGACAGTATAGTGGGCACTGAGGATGTTGCCATGTCCAAATCGAAGCTCCTACCTACAGAGAGCTTACTCTGCATTGGCAAGGATGGGGGAGGGGAGGCAAACAAAAAACATATAGTCTAATAACAGAATAACAGAGTGATGCATGTAATGTGAAAAATAACTCAGAATAGGAGGGTGGACAGTGAAAACAGCTCATTTCTTTTCAGCACTGAATAATATTCCATTGTTTGGATAGCACAGTTCATTTATCCATTCACCTATGTACACAAGGATATCTTGGTTGCTTCCAAGTTTTGGCAATTATGAACATAGCTGCTATAAACATCCAACTGCAGTGTTTTTTTTTTTTTAATGAACATAAGCTTTCAACTCTTTAGAGTAAATACCACTGAGCAGGACTGCTAGATCATATGATAAGAGTATGCTTAGTCTTATAAGAAAAACGATCTTCCAATGTGGCTGTATCATGTTGCATTCCTACCAGCTATAATGAAAGTTCCTGTTGCTCCACATTCTTGTCAGCATTTGGTGTTATCACTGCTCTGGATTTTGGCCATTCTAATAGGTATGTAGCGGTATCTCACTTCTGTTTTAATCTGAATTTCCTTGATGACATGATTTCATATGCTTATTTTCCATCTGTATATCTTCTTTGGTGAGGTGTCTGTTAAGGTTTTGGCCCAACTTTTAATTTGTTTTCTTATTTTTGAGTGTTAAGAGTTCTTTGCATATTTTAATAACAGTGCTTTAACAGATAGATATTTTACAAATATCTTCTCCCAGTGTGTGATTTGTCTTTGCATTCTCTTTATGGTGTCTTTTACAAAGTAGAAAATTTTTAATTTTAATAAAGTATAGCTTATTAATTCTTTCTAAGATCATGCCTTTGGTATTACATCTAAAAAGTCATTGCCACATCTGAGGTCATCTAGATTTTCTCCTATATTATCTTCTAGGAATTTTAGAATTTTGCATTTTACATTTAGGTCTGTGATCCATTTTGAGTTAATTTTTGTGAAAGGTGTGAAGTCTCTGTGTAGATTCATTTTTTTTTCTGCATGTGGATGCCTACTTGTTCTAGCACCATGTATAGAAAAGACTCTCTTCTCTCCATTAGGTTGTCTTTGATCTGTTATAAATCACTTGACTATAATTATATGGGTCTATTTCTGTGCTCTCTATTCCGTTCCACTGATCTATTGGTATATTGTTTTAACAATACCACACCATCTTGATTACTATAGTTTTATAGGTAGTCTTTAAGTTGGGTAGTGTCAGTCCTCCAACTTTGTTTTCACATCCTTTAATATTGTATTATCTCTTCACGGTCATTTATCTCTCCATATAAACTTTAGAATCAGTTTGCTGATGTCCAAAAATAACTTGTTGGGATTTTGATTGGGATTACCACTTGAATCTATGAATCAAGTTGGAAAGAACTAATATATTGACAATATTGAATCTTCCTATACATGACCATAGAATATCTCTCCATTTATTAAGTTCTTTGATTTCTTTCATCAGAGTTTTGTTGTTTTCCTCATATAGACCCCGTACATATTTCATTAGATGTATACTTAAGTATTTCATTTTGGGAAGTGCTAATTTAAATCATAACATTTTTAGGTTTTTTTTTTTGTTTTTTCAAATTTTTTATTTCCATAGGTTGTTGGGGAATAGGTGGTGTTTGGTTAAATGAGTAAGTTCTTTAGTGGTGATTTGTGAGATATTGGTGTTCCCCTCACCCGAGCAGTATACACTGCACCTAATTTGTAGTCTTTTATCCCACACCCCCTCCCCACCCTCTTCCCTGAGACCCCAAAGTCCACTGTGTCATTCTTATGCTTTACATCATCATAGCTTAGCTCCCACTTATGAGTGATTACATACAATGTTTGCTTTTCCATTCCTGAGTAACTTCACTTAGAGTAATAGTCTCCAATCTCATCCAGCTCACCATGAATGCCATTAATTCATTCCTTATTATGGATGAGTAGCATTCTATCATATATATATATATGTATGTATATACATATATATATGACTATATATGATGGAATACTACTATATATAGTCATATATGTGTATATAAATATACACATATATGATGGAATACTCATCTATAAAAAGGAATGAATTAATATTATTAATAAGTAATAGCATTAATTTATATACTATATATAATTGATGGACATTTGGGTTTGTTACATGATTTTGCAATTGCTAATTGTGCTGGTATAAACATGTGTGCGCAAGCATCTTTTTCATATAATGACTTCTTTTCCTTTGTGTAGATACCCAGTAGTGGGATTGCTGGATCAAATGGTAGTTCTACTTTTAGTTCTTTAAGAAACCTCCACACTGTTTTCCACAGTGGTTGTAGTGGTTTACATTCCCACTAGCAGTGTAGAAGTGTTCCCTGTCCACCGCATCCACACCAACACCTATTATTTTTGATTTTTTTATTATGCCCATTCTTGTGGTAGTAAGCTGGTATCACACTGTGGTTTTTATTTGCATTTCCCTGATCATTAGTGATGTTGAGCATTTTTTCATTTGTTTGTTGGCCATTTGTATATCTTCTTTTGAGAACTGTCTATTCATGTCCTTAGCCCACTTTTTGATGGGATTGTTGGTTTTTTTTCTTGCTAATTTGTTTGAGTTTGTTGTAGATTCTGGATATTAGTCCTATGTCAGATGTATAGATTGTGAAGGTTTTCTCTCACTCTGTGGGTTGTCTGCTTGCTCTGCTGACTGTTCCTTTTGTCATGCTCTTTAGTTTAATTAAGTCCCAGCTACTTATCTTTGTTTTTATTGCAATTGCTTTTGGGTTCTTGGACATGAAATCTTGGCTAAGCCAACATCTAGAAGGGTTTTCCAATGTTATCTTCTAGAATTTTTATAGTTTCAGGTCTTAGATTTAAGCCCTTGATACATTCTGAGTTTATTTTTGTATAAAGTGAGAGATAAGAATCCAGTTTTATTCTACCACATGTGGCCTGCCAATTATCTCAGAACAATTTGTTGAATAGGGTGTCCTTTTCCACCTTATGCTTTTGTTTGCTTTGTCGAAGATCAGTTGACTGTAAGTATTTGGGTTTATTTCTGGGTTCTCTATTCTGTTCCATTGGTCTATGTGCCTATTTTTATACCAGTACCACGCTGTTTTGGTGACTATGGCTTTATAGTATAGTTTGAAATCACGTAATGTGATGCCTCCAAATTTGATTGACACTATTCCACAAGACAGAGAAAGAGGAAATCCTCCCTAAGTCATTCTATGAAGCCAGTATTACCCTAATACCAAAACCAAGAAAGGACATAACAAAAAAAGAAAACTACAGACCAATATCCCTGATGAACATAGATGCAAAAATCCTTAACAAAATACTAGTTAACTAAATCAGACAACACATCAAAAAGATCACTGATATAGTTTGGCTGTGGCCCCACCCAAATCTCAACTTCTAGAATTCCCATGCATTGTGGGAGGGACCCAGGGGGAGGTAATTGAATCATAGGGGCCGGTCTTTCCCGTGGCATTTTCATGATAGTGAATAAGTCTCACAAGATCTGATGGGTTTATCAGGGGTTTCTGCTTTTGTTTCTTCCTCATTTTCTCTTGCTGCTGCCATGTAAGAAGTGCCTTTCACCACCCTCCATGATTCTGAGGCCTCCCCAGCCATGTGGAGCTGTAAGTTCAATTAAACCTCTTTTTCTTCCCAGTCTCGAGTATGTCTTTATTAGCAGTGTGCAAACGGACCAATATAATAATCCATGAGGATCAAGTAGGTTTCATACCAGGGATGCAGGGATGGTTTAACATATGCAAGTCAATCAATGTGATACACCACATAAACAGAATTAAAAACAAAAATCAAATGATCATCTCAATAGACAGAGAAAAAGCATTTGACAAAATCCACCATCCCTTTATGATTAAAACTCTCAGCAAAATCGACATACAAGGGACATACCTCAATGTAATAAATGCTATTTATGACAAACCCACAGTCAAAACAATACTGAATGAAGAAAAGTTGAAAGCATTCCCTCTGAGAACTGGAACAAGACAAGGATGCCCACCCTCACCACTTCTCTTCAACATAGTACTGGAAGTCCTAGCCACAGCAATCAGACAAGAGAAAGAAATAAAGGGCATTCAAATTGGTAAAGAGGAAGTTGAACTGTCACTGTTTGCTGATGATATGATTGCTTATGTAGAAAACCATAAAGATTCCTCCAGAAAGTTCCTAGAACTGATAAAATAATTCAGCAAAGTTTCCAGACACAAAATTAATGTACACAAATTAGTAGCTCTTCTATACACCAAAAAGCGACCAAGCAGAGAACCAAATCAAGAACTCAACCCCTTTTAAAATAACTGCAAAATAAATAGAATACTTAGGAATATATCTAACCAAGGAGATGAAAGACCTCTACAAGGAAAACCACAAAACACTGCTAAAAGAAACTATAGATGACACAAACAAATGGAAACACATCCCATGTTCATGGATGCGTACAATCAATACTGTGAAAATGGCCATATTGCCAAAAGCAATCTACAAATTCAACACAATTCTCATCAAAATACCACCATCATTCTTCACAGAAGTAGAAAAAACAATCCTAAAATTCATATGGAACCAAAAAAGAGCCTGCAGAGCCAAAGCAAGACTAAGCAAAGAGAATATTTTTAGTTTTAAGTTCCACTTGTTCATTGCTGGTTTATTGTAAAGTGACTAAATTTTGTATATTAAGATTGTATCCTACAACCTTACTATAACCATTTATTAATTCCAAGAGTGTTTTTGTCCATTCTTTCAGATTTTCTACATAGATAATCATGTCATCTGTGAACAAAGAAAATTGTATTTCTTCCTGCTATGGACTGAATGTTTGTGCCCCTTCCAAGTTGGATTATGAAGCCTAATCCTCAGTATAATGGCATTTGTAGATGGAGTCTTTGAGAGGTAATTAGATCATGAGAGTGGAGCCCTCATGAATGGAATTAGTCCCCTTATAAGAAGAGACACAAGGGAGCTTGCTTCTCCTCTCTACTCTAGGCTATGTGAGGATACAATGAGAAGATGGCCATCTACAAACCAGAAAGTGGACTCTCACAAGAAACCTAATCAACCTAGCAAGTTCATCTTCGACTTCCCAGCATACAGCTGTGAGAAATAACTAACTATTGTTTAAGTCATTCAGTTTATGTTATCTTGTAACCTAAACTTAGACACTTCCCAATCAGTACAATTTTGTTTCATTTTCTTGTCCAATGGCATTAGCCAGGACTTCCAGTCCCATGTTAAAAAGGAGTAGTGAGAGGGGACATCCTTGCCTTGCTCTTCATTTTAGTAAGCAAGTGTCTAATCATTGATATCCCATTGCTAACTTGCTATGGTATAGTATTTAATGCTATACTCACCTCCTCACCATCTCCTTAATTTATATATTATTATGTTATTAATATATTAATATATATTATTATATAGTATATATTATAAATATTAATATATAATATATTATATATTATAAATATTAATATATAATATATTATATATTATAAATATTAATATATAATATATTATATATTATAATATATTATATATTAATATACATATATATTATTATGTATAATATTAAGTATATTATATACATAATATATTATTATAATATATATTATAATAATATATCATAATAAAACAATATAATAAAATAATATAATTTATTAATATAATAAAATAATATAATATATTATATAATATATCGATATAATATATAATATATTGATATATTAATATAATATATTGGTATAATATATAATATATTGATATAATATATAATATATTAATATAATATATTGATATAATATATAATATATTAATATAATATATTGATATAACATATAATATATTAATATAATATATTGATATAATATATAATATATTAATATAATATATTGATATAATATATAATATATTAATATAATATATTGATATAATATATAATATATTAATATAATATATTGATATAATATATAATATATTGATATAATATATTGATATAATATATAATATATTGATATAATATATAATATATTGATATAATATATTGATATAATATATAATATGATATAATATATAATATAATATATTGATATAATATATAATATATTGATATAATATATTGATATAATATATAATATATTGATATAATATATAATATAATATATTGATATAATATATAATATATTAATATAATATATTGATATAATATATAATATAATATATTGATATAATATATAATATATTAATATAATATATTGATATAATATATAATATATTAATATAATATATTATGTATTATATTAATATATAATATATTAATAGATATATATAATTATATATCGATATATATATCGATATATAATATATAATATCTATTAATATTATAATATAATATATAAATATAATAGAAATATATATTATATATTTATATATAATATATGATAAAATATAATATATAAGAAATTATATATTATATATAATATAAATAATTATGTACTATATAATCAATTATTATATATTATATAATTATATTATATATATAATCAATTATTATATAGTACATAATTATATAATATATAAGCAATTATTATATATTATATAATTAAATTATATAATATATAAGTTATTATATATTTATATTACATAGTATCATAATTATTAATTAAATTAATATATTAATATTATCTATTATATATAAAAATTCCTTCTGAGAACTGGAACATATATATGTCCTATGATTTTTCAGACCATTTCTTTTCTAGTTGTGGAAAGTCAAGGCTGACTTATAGCACTTTCTTTCAGTTTTTCTTCCAAAGCCATCCTTAAATTGCATTGATTATTTTTTCAGAAGGTATAGCATTGCCCCTTACATTGCCACTATCATCATCCCAATCAAAGGCTTTCATTACTTGATGGCTAAATTGTTGCAATTGGCATCTATCTGGTTTCCAATTATCCTTTCAGTCTAATTTTTGTTTACCATGCCACTGGATTAACATTTCCAAAAAGTATATTTTTATTTGTCATTCTTAGTTTAAAATCCTAGTTTAAAATTCCTAGTTAATCCTACTTAAATTCCTAGTTTAAAATTGTCATTCCTAGTTTAAAAATCTTTAGTGTGACCCTATTACAGAATAGCATAAGTTCAAATTCTTGACCTGGCACCAACGGCCTTCGATCATTTATCCTTTTTGTTATTCAATATTATCTTTTAATATTTCCCCAACAAACCTTGGCAGCCATCAAACTATCTGCAAAGATCATTTTGTGTATGTTTACTATCTCGAGAATTTGATGGTATTCTTCTCTCCATATGGCACAATATCTTCCCATTCTGTTTCTTTATTAATTATTTCTCTCAGTAAAGAGTCATCCCTGCAGGGGGCCCTCCATTCCTCTTGAAATGGTACTTCTGAACTCCTTAGGTTTTTCCCACTATCCTGTCACAAGGAGCCAACTATTGTGATTTTTTTCCCACTATCCTGTCACAAGGAGCCTACTACTGTGATTTTTTCCCCCTTTGTACATGCCCTACTCCCAAAGTAGATCAGAAGTCCTTTGAATGCAATAATTAATATTTGGCTTTGTTCTCCTCCACAGCTCAAATGTAAAACAGAGTCTTTTACGTAGCAGGCCCACAATAAAACTGCATTGACTAACCTGACCTCCCATGGCAGGACATTTAAATGACAGGAAGCAGTGTTTCTGAGAAGTAAATGATTTCCTATTTAATCCAACAAAAGCAATTGAAGATACAGAGTGACAGCACATGTCACCACTGTTTTGTAGTCTCCCACTGCTTTTCATTAAAAACAGATCTTTGAATCCAAACGAATTAGATTTTAAAGAACAAATTGAAAGTTTAATTTGATTATCAACAATGGAGACACATTATTCTTTTCTTCAGACACCTATAATGTCCTTTCTAATCCAGGTGTCACTGTGAATAAATATTAAGGGGTACATATTTGGAATTTTAATTCGTGAAGTAATTTTCACTAAGAACATCTGTATTTGCTGTGAATACATTTCACCGTGCTCAGAAAAAAAGAAGTGTATCGTTTATCCAGAATTACAGACATTTAGAACTAGAAAGAATATCATAGAGGTCAACTGGTCCAGTGATACTAAACTACCTTTTAGTTAGTGAAAAATCAGCTTTTTCTTTCTAAATTTTCAACGTACTATAGTCCAACAATTTTGTGGAACATAGTAAAAAATGAATTACTACAAAATGAAATAATAAAAAAGAAAAACCTACAAGAATACAAGTTCCAGTTTTTAATTTTTAGATTAAATAGACATAAAGTTAATCTTGCAAATTGTGTAAAATGTGTGTACACACTCTCAATTTCTGTACTTAATTCATTAAGGACCAGTTAGTTTACGGTGCATCACTGGTTTGCAAATTATACCTGGAGTAGCACTGATACAGTTTCATTATTTTATGGATGAGAAACGTGAGACTCATAATCATTTCAAACTTATTTTGAGCTCCAAATATGTACCAAATATTAATCTAGATTTTTCACATACATTATTCATTTCATTCTTCAAAAAATCCTTTTTGGAGGAATATTATCTAATTTCATAGTTGAAACTGATACCCATGAAATTAGACACATCTGATGATAATATAGTAGCAAACCTAGGGATATCCAAGTGTTTTTATACTGGTCTTATTGATACAAGAGGTAGAAAGCAATTATTTAGGCAGATAGTGAGGGTAAAAGAGTCCTTAGCAGAGTTTCCCTTTTAACAAAAAGCAGCCCCAAGAAATTATTTTTTTCTAACAAAGAGCAGCCTGAAAAATCAAACTGTAAACATAGACAAGCAAGCTGGAAGCTTGCACAGGGGAATGCTGGCAGCTGTGCCAACAGAAAAGGGCTACCTTGGGGCCAGACATATCTAACATGAAGGCTCCATTTTTCCTCTTTTTTTTTGTTATAGTAAAGGAATAAGCAACATGGTGCAGGTCAGGCAGAGAACTCATCTGCATAATAAAAGATTAGGGTTGGGGAGGCCAGAAATTTGTGCAAATGGCACACTTAGTCCTAACCAGCTTTTCTTTATGCAACTTATGCAAATGGCACACCTGGTCCAACCAATCTTTTGAACCCTATGCAAATCAGACACTGCCTCCTCACCAGGCATCTATAAACCCCCTTGCATTTCACAGCAGAACCAGCAACCCATTTCTCTGGGACCCCTCTCTCCAGCAGAGAGCTATCCTCTTTCTTTCACCTATTAAACTTCTGCTCTTAACCTCACTCTTTATGTGTCCATGTCCTTAACTTCCTAGACCATGAGAAAAGGAACCTCGGGTATAACCCCAGACAATGAGGCCACTTCATTATGTAATACTGAAAATACAACTTATAATACAAACAATTTTTTTTTAAATTTTCTTCAGGTAATCAAAAGTCTTGTGAAAGGAAAATACACATGCCTTTAACTTCAGTTTTTGGACTACCAGTTTTGGATTTGTACAACTTGTGTTGATCCTGATGACTCTCTATGTATAAAGGGAATAGGAAACAAAAAGATAGATAGAAAGAAATTTTATATCAGAAAAAAAAAATTACTAGGTCCTAGACATGTAAGGACGAGGATTATTGATGGAGGACCCTGGATCTCCTATTCACTACACACAGCTGTATTTACATTTTTGTCCCTACTAATGTTAATCCCAAGAATTAAAACCACTGGGGAGTTTGTTTTTCCTCTCCTTTTAAAGAAAGAATGTTTTCCTAGGAATTTCCATGGTAGTGAAAATATAGTATCCTATCTGAGAAATAATCCACTTCTGTTTCAAAAAAATCAAAACCAACAGCAAACACAAAATTAAAATAAGAGACCAGCAGCATAGCATTTTAAAAGCTTCGACCATAACAGAAGTTATTTGATAATTGGGAAGTAATGCTTAGGTCTTTATTATTAGCCAGGAAGCTGCTTTTAAACAATAATGTCATTTTTCTTTTTTTTCTATAACAGAGCCTTTAAAAAAGAAAATAATACATTCTATTTCCTGGTTTGCATATGAAAAGCAAACAGCGTAGCAGGGCAATTGTCTAGACAATTCAAGGAAAAAGTTCTTGAAATATCTAGTTAATTTCTCACACCACTGCTTTATTAGTCTATGAAGACAAAAACTATAGTTGCCTACTGAATGTTAAATAATGAGTACAGGCATCTATTATTAATAAGTATTTGATCAATTTTTAAACATAGTAAACGATGAGTCAATAATATCCTGAAGCCATGAGTTTAGCCAATTAAATATGTTTAAAGTGGCATTCTTTTGCCTTTATTCTGAATTCATGAATTCAAAGGAAAAATAAATTACTTGTTAGCAAGGCTTACAATTTTAATGCAGACTTTGAAAGATTTTTCAAATGTCCTTTGTTCTGGACATACCTGTATTCCTTTGTGTTATATTCTTCATGGGATTTTAAATTTCTTTAATACCACTTACTTCTTTTTTCTGTTTTAGTATCTGTTGTAGTCATTGGGTGCTGACTCTAGCTAATTGAGGAAAATAATAAAAAACTTGCTTCTAACTGGCAAAGGCCCAACTATCTCAGTACTTCTGTAGTTAATTCACAAAGGTATGAAACACAGAAGGAAGAGCACATTTAACAGGAAAAAGTGATTATTTTTGGTCATACTGAGTTTATATATATGAAGAAATATATATGATATTGGTGAAATATGGAAGTGAGATGTCTAATAAGCAGTGAGATATCGATGTAAAAGTCCAGCTGAGGAGGAACAATCAATAACATACAGATGGTAATTGCAAGGATGAGTACAAATGAGATCACCCCTAAGAAAATGTACAGAGTGGAAAGAGAAAGGTCCTAAACAGAATTCTGAAGAAAAGTGACTTTAAATTTACCAAGCCAGATAAGAGGGAGGAAAGGCTGCATATGCACTGTAGAAATAAAAGTCAGAGCAATTCGTGGGCATTTCTAGGAGGTATACTCCATTTAAGGCATAAAAGGACTTTCTTAATATTGAGCCACTAACTGTGAACGGGCTGTATAATATGGTGGTGAATTCCCTTTTACTGGAAGTCCTGTATCAACTTCCATTAGAGTGGTCTCAGAAGATATTCCTGTAAAGTACAAAACGAACAGACATTTAAGGCCCTCATCTTCACCACGTGTAAATATTATAAATGCTGATATTCATTAAATTAGTCATGTTCACATTCATTTCTCATTTTTTCAGGATGGATTCATAAAACTTATTTTCCTTATCCAAGTGTCTAGAAAAAGTTTAGATGCTTTTTACTAGTTTATGGTGAAGCAAAGTTTTGACAAGCAAATGTGATTGTTTTAATAATTTAATGAGCTTTTTAAAATATTGCCTCTAGTCTAAACCCTACTGTTTCCTAAAGGCACTAAAAAAATGAGGGTTTCCTTCTCCAGCAAAGCTGCACTCCACATGCAGGCTTCCCTGTTCACAGAAATTATTAAAAGATTTAAGATAAAGAAATTTAAAGAGTCCAGACAAGTCAGTAAAATAACTTTTGTGACTATTCAAGAAGAATATAAAAAAAATGATCATTTAGCTAGTATTTCTTTTACGTCAGGTGAGTCACAGACAATAATATTCAGAATTATCTCCTTTTACTGTTAAAACTGCTACAACAAAGGAGGACTCTGATAATGCCCATCTTTATAATTAAGCTTTTTGTGTTGACTAAAGAATTTCAACTTCTCCCTTGGGCACTCTTGTTAAGTTTCAGGAATAGCCGACACTTAGTAGCTTATTGCATTAAGTCATAATGGAAGAGAAAGACTGATATGAAAGTAATATGTTAGTAATGAGCCTCACTGATGGTTAGAAAATGTGTCTCCTTCACAGCATGGCTCAGAGGTCAAGCAGCACATGCTCTGGAGTCTGAATTTCCTGCTTACCAGCTATTTGACCTTGAGTATATTACTTAACCTCTCTAAATTTAAGTATCTTTATCTGATAATAGGGCTAAATATATATTTCAAAGGGTTGGTTTGTGGATCAAAAGAAACAATACATATAAAGGGCTTCAAATAATTAAAAAAAGGACTCATGCACCTTTTTTCTGTCTATTTCTGTTTATTATTATTATTACTACATCATACTGAGAGAATTTCTACCTTAACGAAAATGCTTGTGAGAGATTTCAATTTCAGATTTTTAAACGGTTCATATGAAAATTGTCAGGGACATATTTACTTGAAAATAGCAGTTATGTATTATATGTACTCAGACCTAGGTTCAAATAAAACCACATGACACTATCCCAAGATGTTTCTTGTTTATAGGCTCTCCAGAATGTCCCACTACTGGGAACATTTTAGGAATCAAATTACATGCTATTACTTTACTGTGTATTTACCAATGACTTTTTTAGAGGACAAAATATCCTCATAACTTTATTTGCAAAATATCAAACTTCCTATAATTTTATTAGCAAATGCACGGCATGACCACTCCTGATGCTGAAGGTAGGCAATGGATAAAGTTGTTCATACTATGACCAACAGTAATGGTGTCACTGCACATTTATGGTACCAGATATTCAATTCAGAAAACTAGAATAACAGTGACATCGTTACATAGAACAAGCATTTGTAACCTCATACATATCATGCAATAAAGAGCACAGCTCTTAGGTTAAGGTTGCAGCAATGCAGAGCAACCAATGTGGTCACAGTAGCGGGGAAGGAGAGGGGAAATCCTTTCCTGCCACTCCTGACATTTCCTTTCATGTGGAGAGAACTCCACTAGCCTCATATCCTTAGCCTATCACTGCTCCTTTACTCATTCCCACAAAAGAGAAACTTAGTCTACACGCAATGAATTTGGAATAAAAATCTGGCCATGCATAGTCCTTACTGCCCTTGCACTTGGGACAGAGCAGCCTGTAAGCTGGAGGCACAAACTCTCCTGTGCTCCTCCCTGCCTGGATTTCAGTGGAGCAGGACACAGGGACGCCCTCCTCCAGTCCAACAGGGCTAGGATCTAATACTGGGACCCCATAAGCAGTAAGAAACCTCACTTCTAAAAGACATCATCAGTATCAGTTTTACCAGTTTATCTTGTCCTTTTGTTTGTACAAGGTGGGGAAGATATACACTATTCATCGGGTCTTTTTACACCCAAACAAATTCCAATTGTTTTAACAGTTTTTAAGGAGAAAAACAATCTTTGTTGATGACTTACTATGTGCTAGGCATTATGCTAGACGCTAAAGAAATAAACATAATTAGGATGCTATTTCTGTTCTTAAGGAGATTAAGGTCTAGTAAGAGAGGAACATATATGTAGAGCATATCTACATAATGTGACAGGTGCTATATAACTGACATGCTCACATCAATCATTGTACAGTTCTCTGCTAGCAGAGGTTGAGAGATGTGCTCATCCTCAAGCATCATTTACAACTTTGCCCCTTTCTTTCCTATATAGCAGCATATACCTCAATGCAAGTAAAAATAGTTAATACAGGAATAGATGGAAAGCACTCCAATTTAGAAAAAAAAATCCTTTACAAGCGATGATACCCTCAGAGTAAAAAATTACATGAGCTCTCACAACTGCACAGGAAGCCTTGGTGATACAGCAGCAGAGTTTTAACCTCTCCTCTATGAAGTTTTTTGAGGGTAGAAGGGGAGTTCAGAAAGACCTTCAGGGATACAAGGCCCTCTAGCAGCACGAATCCCGTGCCCATACCCACACTAGCTCGGCTTTTTCCTGTTTTACTCCACAAAAAGAGCTCTTCAAAGAGAAAAACTAAACAAAGGTAGAAAAACATCAAATAAGAACTTAAAGTGTGAGGTAGGAAGTGGCAAGATTTGAGGCTGAAGTGGGAGCTGGAGGCCAGGCAATGAAGCCAGTTGTCTTTTCAGTGAATGATTCCCACATTTTGCTGCACATTGGAATTGCCTGGACATCTTTTGAGATGTTGATGCCTAGATCCCACCCATCGACCTTCTGATTATTATAATTAGTAGGAGGTGTGATCAGGACTTAGAGAGTTTTGAAAGTTTCCAGGTGATTCTAATATGCAACAAGTCAGAAAACCACTATTATAGACACAAGGGGAAAAAGTGATGAAGCCAGATTCACTTTTTGAAGGGAATTGTGCTGTGGGGAAATCTGGATTCGAACCTGGTTTGAACAAGCATTAACATCACACATGTATTACATTTTAAACTATCTATGCAGAGGTAACTGCAAAGAATAGCCTTTACCATCACATCCAGTCCTGATTCAATGCATACAAGCCAAGGTTTCATTTGTTGGTTTTGCAAGCAATGAAAATTATTACGACTTATTCAAAATGTGTGTTTATGTATGTGCTAAACAGTGGTATGAATACGTGTGTGTGTGTGCATGTGTGTGTGTGAAGGACACAAAGCTCAAAAAATAAAGATGAATAGGAACAACCAACCAATGCTAAGATGAATGATAAGTAAGGTAACACCCAGGGCATCTCTGAGAACATCAGCACAGAAATGTATGGAACTTCTCTTAGCTGACAGCACTGCCATTTAGTTATTTAGCTATTAGCGTTAGTATTGGTATTTAGTGTTCTAATACATTTCATCTCTTTGCCTCTCTCCATTCCTGTTACAAATACTGAGGAGAAAGTGATTGGCCCAGCTTGGGTCATAGGAATTCCCATGGGTCAATGAGTCATGATCAGGAACTAATCCAGAAGAATTAGCACAAACATGGCAACACACAGGGCTGCTGTTAAAGCTCTGCAGCATCCCAGCTTCCCCACCCACCCAGCCCCAGTTTCTGTCTACTACATCTGATTAAGTGTTAAATCTACCCTGGACCACCTGAGAAGGAGAGACGAGTATAAAGGGACATTACCTGTGCCCATTGAAAAAAATGTGGAATAGGTGAGTCATACCTTAGTAAAGGATATGCCACCTTGAATAAGAAAAATGAAAGATTAAAAGCTGGTGTGCATAAAAATTGATTAATCTATCAAAAATGCTGCATAGTATACTTTGAAATTTGTGCCCAAACACAGCTCCACCTACTCCTTGGTTCATCTCTACTAAATGCTAGTGGTACCCTCCATTCATCACAGCAAACAAAACACCGATTTTGCTTTCAAACATCTCTAGACTACAGTGGCATCCCCAGCTGAGACCCTCTAGACACATAAAAAGGCTGGCACAAATAGATGGCTCCATGCATGATTGCGTGTGTATTTCTGCTTTCCTTTGCAAGTCTGTCAAAAACAATGAATAAAATATATTCGCTATAAAAAATACTGATTCAGAAGAAGCAGTATAGAATTGGTTCTGGAATGAGAAAACTCTGGTTTGGAATTCTGGCCTCTTACTTGGGAAATTTATTTTACCTCAATAAGTGTCAACTTATTGACCTTTAAAATGAGGGCAAGAATCATACCTACCTGGAAGATTTACTGTGAGGATTAAATGAAATAATGCACATTGATAATGCACATGAAGTTCTTGGCATTGTCCAACACATAAAAATGCCCAATAAATGGCAGTGATTGTTATTTTTGCTGTTACCATTATTATTGCTGCTCATAATTCTTAATTACAATATTGAATTCAGAAATTAAATTATCCTCATGGTGACCTAGAAATGCAAACTCCGTACATCCAGTGATAGAGCAGAGTTTCCAAATTAAGGCTGTGACCACCGGCCTTATAGTAAACATCGCACATGTTCTGCAGTTATATATTGAACATTTTGAAATAAACTGGAAACGCACATAGAATTTTAAAAATATAAGAGACACAGCAAATTGTAAGGAACCTGACAGAGCATAATACAGAGCTCTGCCTCAAACTGGAGCTTTATATTTACCCAGGAACTAACATCCCACTCTGTCACTGTCATCATCTTTTTTTTTTTTCTTTTTTCCTTTCAGCAACTTCAACCTTTTTTATCTTTGCAGGTAGCACTGTGTGGCAGCTATTTAGGCACCCTGGAGAGTGGTTTAATGATGAGGAAGCACTGACACATAACAGCCGCATAAAGATTTAACAGCACTTCTTGTCAACTTTCCCTTAACCTGCAACGTTTCCTCCTGTGATCATCTTGAATCATGAGCAGACACACAGAAATAAATACATGCTTTTCCAGTCATGTCTCCAGGAGCAGGTTCTCTTTTTCATTTGTAACACAGAGGAGAAGGAAAACATCGTAGTATACCACCTTGCTATAATGGTTGCAGGGAGCATTGTGCACCAGCATCAGATGCTTCCTTAAAGCAGCAGGGTGCAAAAATTGCCATCTTAGAAGTTGCCACCTGAGATCCTCCTAAAGAAGAAACTTCAAGTTAAATACTGTAATCAGTGTTTTGGAGGTAGAGCGTGAAACACGAAGTCAAGAGTTAAAAGGAGATAACAGGCTGGGTGCAGTGGCTCACGCCTGTAATCCCAGCACTTTGGGAGGCTGAGGTGGGTGGATCACCTGAGGTCAGGAGTTCAAGACTAGCCTGGCCAACATGGTGAAACCGTGCTTCTATTAAATACAAAAAAATTAGCCAGGCATGGTGGCGCATGCCTGTAATCCCAGCTACTTGGAAGGCTGAGGCAGGAGAATCGGTTGAACCAAGGAGGCAGAGGGTGCAGTGAGCCAAGATTGCACCAATGCACTCCAACCTGGGCAACAAGACCTCTGAAAAAAAAAAAAAAGGAGCTAACAAGAAAGAAATAGGTAAACCACTCAGCATAGGGAATTAAAGGGGGTTGACAGAGCATGAAAGATAGAGAATAAGAAAGTGGAGAGAAAGAACTAAGGGCCAAGTAGCACAATAGGAGGCTGCAATCTGCAGAAATTCAAGCAGATGGAAGAATACAAGGGGTATATGATGAGGCAGAATAACCCTCTACATTCTAAGGTCATTTGTAATCCCCCCCTTTTCTCTACCAAAACTTCAAGTGAAGTCTAATGCAACCACAGTTTCTTGTGAGATGAGGCGTTCAGGAGGCACTGGCCCCAAGGAAGAGCAGGGACATTGTAATGAGATGTTTGGTTCTCTAGGTGGTGATGTGCCTCAAAGTGAATGAACAGTGGCTGCAGCAGTGCTGACAGTGGTGCACAGAAGCAGCAGAAATAACTCCAGGTGGGCAAGAGATTAACCCACTTTTCTCCAAATGGCTAGAGAGATATTAGCTCTGGAAAGGGCAGTATCTGAGCAACATAAATTAATGCCTCTGGCTGCTAAGACACAACAGAAGATGAAATGTCCTTACATCAGTCTTCCCTATACTCAACTATACTAGCCTTCTTTCTGTTCGAATAAACCATGTGTGTTCACCTTCAAGGACTTTGACTTTGCTCTTCTTCTTGAATACCCTTCTTAGAGCATGGCTCATTTTTGTCATTCAAGCTTTGGCTCCAACATCCTCAGAGAGACCTTCTTAGACCACCTGTCTAAAGTTCCTCCCCTCCCCTGGCTACAGCTATTACCTATCACTTCATCATGTTTTATTCTTTTTACAGACCTTCTAACCTTCTGATACTTTTGGTTTATTAATTATATTTCATTGAATCAAAAAGGCCATCAATTATAAGATGCACATTATCTTGTGTATTCTAAGAAAGCTAAATGCTGCCAATTAAACTGACACAATATTTGCTTATCATTTTGAATTCTGATTATACACTTAATTATAAGTGCTCTTTTGGATTTATGTAGACAATGATTTTTATCATATGTCACCTTGTACAAACATAAATAAGAAAATATATTGTTCATTGTTTTGCAATAAAACATGAAGTTGTAGTCAGTCTTTCCTTCAAAACAATATTAGTTTTGTAAATATCAAATTTAGGTCTCACTGCTCTGTTTCTGTCCTTTCTGCAGCAACAATAACTTCTTGTTTTAATGTCAAATCAAAGTGCAATCTTTTCAAAATATTTTAAATGGCAATCAGACTTGTGTAATACTAATAGTGCATGTAACTTAACTGAAATGGCAACAATATGGCCCTCTTTGAAGTTTGGAAATGACAGCTACAATACTCCTGCTGCCTTGCCAGTGGTGAGAAAGACATCATTAATTGTTACCAGCATCTGACTTCAAAATTTCTAAAATGTGAAAAACAAATGTGTATCTTAGTATCAGTTAAATAAGCTAACTTTTTATTTGTTTACTATTTCCCCCATAGCTCCTCCATCACTAAAATAGAAGATCTATGAGAAGAGAGACTTTGCCTACATATCCTTAGAGTCTACACCATAATAAGTATTCCAAAACGTATTCATTAAAAGAATGATAAGTGTTCTCTCTTAAATCCGGTGCTTTACCATTCAGGATGCAATGTCTCTGTCAACTTACAAAGAGTGGCATTTCTGGTCTAGCAATTGTACCTTGAAGATTTGCTGCCACCAATGAGAAGAAATGCTATCTAATCTCCTTAGACAGAGACACTGTCCCAGAGTTTTCCTTTAAGTATCCTAAATGGCAATGAACTGTAAAAAAAAAAAAAAAAAAAAAAAAAAGGGGATGCTTGGTGATCTATCTACCTTTCGATAAGATAATCTCTAGGCTGAAATTCTCATTTGCAGAAGTCTGGTAAAGAAGAGATAAAACTGACAAGTGGCACCAGATGAATCTTTGGATGTATGTTCAGAGAAGATCTGTTAAAAAACAAAACAAAACAAAACAAAACAAAAAAAACACTATCCCCTTCAGGCTCAGGAAATCTTGAGATTTACGTACCTTCTGACATGGTGAGCATGCCAAAAAACAGGTAAGTATCAGAAATTCAGATAGTGTTAGATAAAACTCTCTCTTTTTATTTAATTGTATGAAATTCATATCACTCATTCCAAGGTCAGTTTCTCATTGTTTTCCTTGATACTCTCTCTTTAAGTTACCTCCTTATACTTATCTAGGTAAAACTATACTGAATAGATAAAAGTTCTAATAAAAGTCACCTGAAACCTTGCATATTTTTAAAAATTTGCACAAGTAGCACAGCCTTGACATGTGCATACCTATATGAATTCCAGATATTACTATAAAAATTATTTTTTCTTTTTTTTCTGCTCTGTACAGAGATGTAACAAGATAATTACCTACTTCTCTATAGTTGGAAACAAAATTCTTAATGACCTCTCTTTGGGTTTCCTGTAAACTTTTTTGCAACCTCTTTAAGTGGGGGCTCTTCTTTCACAGTGATTTCTTCCTGGCATCTACTACTTGCATTATCTTTTCAAGTTACTTGTGTTCTTCATGCTCCATAACATGAGTAAGAGAGGCTTATAAAGCCATTCTAGAAAGGAAGTAGACTAATGAGCTAGATACTACAGATAATATACATCTTTATATCATTATTTCACATAATTATTTATGCTGAATATTGATGTTCTCATTAATACCATTATCCTTTTCTCATCTAACCCAGAATTCACTGTGGGACAGGAAATGGAGATTATGAGTACAATTAGTTGATTTTTCAAAATAAATCAACCTCCTTAATACTAAACCCACCTTTTCATAATGTTCTGAGAATATAACAAATGAACAATTTGACTGCAAAATATATTGTGCAGTGACTGTATTAGTTAGGATAGGATAGGTTATGCTGCAGTAACAAAATAATCTTGATATCTCAGCAGTTTAACTCAAAGTGTGTTTCTTGCTTACATAAAAATCAGAGACCCTCTTCATCATTTGAACTGTAAGGTTGTCACAGGAAGAGGCATACTGACTCTTAACTGCCTCAGGCCAGAGTTGACCAATGTCACTTCTGTTACACCTCATAGGCTAGAATTAGTTATGAGGATTAAATGAATATTAACTTCCTATGGTAAGTAGCACAGTACTTTGGTACTCAAATATTTGTTAAACAAGTGGAAGATTAAATGACTGCCAGCATCCAATAAAATGGCATGCAACAATGTCATCTTTCCTACTTTCGATTAATATACTGAGTCTTTAGAAATCACAAATAACAAATTTAAAATTAGGAACAATTTTCATCAAGAAGAGTTTGGCATGATTTTTATAAGTTAAAGCAGTTTTTAAATGCTGTGGGAACTTCTGTAGCTGAACATCTTTTGGGCTGTTTTTAAAAAGTTACAGTGACAAGCAGAGTTTTAAAGCTCTCATTATATTTCCAGCTTCTAAACTAAGGAGAATACAATGAAGATATCCAGCCATATTTACACACTTGGAGTTGTCTAGCACAAGAGATGAAGATGCCCCTCCATATTCAAGTATGGCAGTATGTGACAAATGCTCTAGTTCTCTGCAAATACTATCCTCCCTTAGGATCTTATTGACATGTTTCACTGTGCCATCCAATTTTTAATTCACAGCAACTAGTTCTCCTTGAATTAAACAAATAACAGTCACTAACGTTTACTGAAATGCTGCTATGTGTCATATAATGTAATAGACAAGGCTCGTGAGGGCAAGAGTATTTTATAAGTTCCAGTCTATCAATTAAAACAATAACAAGAAAACTGAGGCTCGAAGAGGCTCTGTAACGTGCTATTATGTGGCAGAGCCCTGAGTCCTGGTGTATTCTGTATACAGGGTTCATGCATATCATTTACCAGGGACATGATATGGTAAAAAAGAAGATACCTAGCAGCCAACAGAAAGAACATCTCTTAATTGCTGATATGGACCCATGTCAAGACAGACACTTGTGCAATCTCCTTGTTTCTCTGAATGAATCTCACAACTACATGCATTTTAGTAGCATTAATCATTCCTATCAGCCAATAATAAAGTAGGAAGCATGAAAATATAAACTATATTTTTGAAAAGTTATATTTCCATCACCCTTTTCAAGTATGAACCCAGCTGTGTGTATATTACCAAATATTTAGGGGTCACAAACACAGATATAAATGTATACTCACACAAGTGCAATGCCATCTTTGGAGTACTATATACCACATAACTGCTGAAAACTCAGCAGTATTAATGGAATACTCACATTAAACACTAGCCTTAATTTTTTCCAGCTGCTAAGTGTCTCTAGAAAAGTACTTCCCATTAATCACAGTTAAAATATCCTAAGTATACTATTAAAGGAAATTATTGTGTTGGATTAGAAAATTGATCACATATACAAAATGGAATTCCAAACTGGGAGAATAAACCTCAAAAAAAAAGCTTAATTAATTCAAGTCATACAGCTTCAGAAACAACTGGGTATGAAGAGTCTTACCTGGCTTTGAGCATCAGATGGTGGTACCCAGTCCATAGGACAGACTGATTCATCCACTCATGCACTCACTCATTCATTTATTTATTAAGCACTTCCAATGTGTCAGGTCATGTGCTAAGCTCTGAGATCCTACACACACTGTATCTTCAAGAAGTGCAAAGTCAGTATTTCAGTTAAGAACACGAAGATGTCTCCTGGAAGTTGAGGCAGTATGTTTATTCAGGTCTCAGGAGGGGCTGAAGCCTACACCTCAAACTCTGAAGCAGAGGTCTACCCTCCTGAAAAACCCTGGGCTGCACATCTGCAGTCTCCTTTCTGACTGCCTCTTCCTTCTGAAGGCACAAACTGGAATGTAGCTATTCTCAGCTTAGCTTTCATGACTTCCTACCTCACTGACTCTCCGAGTTCAAATTCCAGCTACTTATCACAGGAAATCTGGCTAACCAAGGCTGAGTCATGTGTCTGCCCTTGTCCAGTGCCCTGAGGCCAGTGGGGAGGAGCAGGGCATCCACTGCCCTCTCAGTAGGGGCTACAGTTAGTCCCTCTGAGAATAACCATGGGTGGAAGGCAGGCAAACTGACTAAGATATCTGTTATATTAAATAGACAATCACACTTAGATGGTGTTAATATAATAACATTTAACATTTAACATTTAACACAGTTTCTGGCACAAAATAAGTTCTAAATAGATAGTGGTTACCCTTTCAGTGGCTATTACAGCACCTGGTATTGGCTGTTATGTGGAAAGTAAGCCAAAAGGCCTGGGGCAGCCAAATGCAGGGGCACCTATCTCAATACTAAGGGAACATAGAAAGGCTTTCAAGATGAGATGGTGAAAGATGAGGAGGAACTAACAGATAGAATTGACTGTTTGTGTGGCAGGGAGAAGAGAGTAGTCCAAAATGGTGCAATATGTATGAAATTCCAGAAATAAGAGAACATGCTATTTTCCATAAATTCTATGTGACTTAGCACGCCAGAAGCTTAAGGTATAAGTTTGTGGAAAGACTGGGTGAAATGAGGCTTGGAGGGGTTGAAGAAGTCAGATCATCAGCATTACTCAGAAGGCTATTTGGTGGTATTGAAGAATTTTAAGAAGAGAAGGTATCTGATCAAATTTCTACCTACTCCTTGCAGTGTGGAGGATGGTGGATTAGAGGATAACGGAGGGTGGGAAATCTCAGTTCATATGGGTGCCATTCACCAAGATAGAGTGCCAAAGTCAAAGCTACTTTAGAAAACACTGGGATGGGTTTGGTCCTGCACTTAATGAATCTGAGATGCCTGAAAGACAGCTATGAGCTGAGGTGTCTATAAGGGGACTGAATGTAAGGGTCTGAGCTCATGAGAGAGGTCTAGGAATGGGTGGAGAGCTAATGATAAAATATATTACACACCAGCTCCAAGAGCTTTGGAAAGACAGAAGTGGAACCATTAACTCTCTGGAAGCCTGGGAAGGATTCTCAAAGAAGATGACATCGGATTGGAGTCTGGAAGGAGAAAGGAGGGACCTCCAGGGAACAGGTGAGATGGGATGAGGAGGGAGAGAGGAGCATTCCTAGCACAGGGATTCCACACAGGGGCAACTCTGTAAACCCCAGCTTTGAAATCTGAAAAAGGAGGCCATTGGGCACCACTCAGCTTGCTTGTACACAGGAAAAGACATAATATTGTGTCTATGACTTAATCCTTAGAGACTAGACAGGCAAGAGAGTCAAGGCTATATATGACTGAATGCTCTAGCTACTGTCCTATAAACATTCTAAAGAAACAAAGTATTTCTAAAATCACATTCACAGGCTTCCAGTTAAACATGACAGATTGAACAAGAGTGTTTACCTTCCTTTCCTCAAAAAACCCAGCAATCCTCATCTCCCAGTGTAAAAAGATAATAAGTAATGTCTAAAGTTGACAAATCTAAAAACAATAGTATATGCCAAGAAATAACAAAACAAATGCCAATTAAAGAAAATAAGTGAAACTCTTCTGGGGATTGGGACTTGTGCATAAAAACAGATTAGAAGGACCACTCTTCAATATTACAAATCCTGAGGGATTTCTGCTTGATTTTTCTAACTATACGCACGTATTGCTCTGGAAAAATAAACATTTTATAAATTACAACATCAATGAAGTGTGAATGAGATTTAGCTTGGATGTAACTTTTCACAAATACACCTTTCCAATAGTAAATAACATGGAAAGCATGATTATTCCATACTAAATCTAAGTCAACACACTCTACCAGGCATGATCGCCTTGCACCATACCAATCTGTCATCACTTTTATATTTTATGAAGAATTTGTCCTGTCTGCTAGACTAGATGCTTTTAAGAAATAATCAAACATTTGGGTCAACTCCCTTGAACATTTTACAGTCACATTTTACTATCATACATCATAGGATTTTAGAGCTAGAAGGGTCTTTAGAATGTAACTAGTCCAATGTCCTCATTTTGTACATGGAAAAAATAAGCTGGAGGTGAAATGGCTTATCAGTGACTGTGCTCAGGAAACAATCCAGAGCCCCTCCTTCCTGGTCCATTGTTTGTTCCACAAAACCAGTATTTCCCAAGCTTGGGTCTACTGAACACTAGGTTTGTGATACCACATGGCCTGAATAATACTAACAGTATTGTCAATAATAAGTCCATTTTTAAATCTTTCTGTTGTTTAGAATTTCAGTAACAAAAGAAGATCCTTTGTTTGATATGGGCCAATACAGAGCTGTATCCTAAATAAATAAAATGTTATGGCATCTCCTGATGAGCATAAACAAGAGAGATTCAATCCTTGCTCTTCCGGAGCTTATCAACATACATTCAATCTATGAGAAACAGAGACTTAAACAGAAAAAAAAAAATGGAATAAAGTAGAATGACTGGCACACAAAAAACCTTCATGGGAACTGGGATATATTGACCAAAGCTGAAATCACAAGTATGCCTACGAATAGAAAATTTATCGTATTGTTTCTAGAATAAAAAATGTAAAAGATATTTGGTAAATTTTACAGTGATCCAAAAAGTACTGAGTCTCTTTAGTATTCCATACTTTACAATGTTACGGTCGAGTTGATAGATCTCACTTTGCCACAGACCACCCTATTGAAGAGACTGATAGTGGCATTTGACTTGCACATAACAAATTATCTGATGATTATAAACTTCCATTGTATCTAAAATTATTCTATAGTGATATAGATCACCACTTTTTTTTTTTTTTTTTTTTTTTTTTACATTCTAACCTACTGGATATCTGGATTTCTCTGTCTGGAGTTCTGTCCGACATTTGACACTCCTGCCTTTCCCAACAGGCCCACTTAATACCCAGATCAAGCTGTTTTTGCAACTTTTGCTGACAGGCACCTGGTACCCTCCCAGACACACCCTTATATGTAATGCAGTAGCTTTGCAGAGAAATGTCAGAGTTTTCCATTGCTTGCTTACAAGGCTATCTCTGCAGCAGAAAATGAGTTATTGAAAGCAGAAAACATACCTGCTCATCTTGTATCCTCCACTTTTAGCCAACACTTGCACCCCATAACTTGACCTATGTTATGAAGACGAATATTTTCTGAACACTTTTTTATTATAAACAAATGATGTAAATCCATAAGTTGTGATAGCTAATGTGCTGTAATAATTCTATGAATTAAACAAAGGAATGAAATGATAAATATTCTCCCTAAATTACATACTTATTAAATAGAGAAAAAATGACAACACATTCTAAATTATACATTAATTTTTTTACATTAAAAAACTCACTTTTATGAAAACCCAAAGAGGAAATCCACATTTACAAAGCAGTTATTCTAGACAAAAATTGGCATCACAAAAGATTTCACTATATAGCTCATTAAACAGCAACCTCCCTGGTTAGATTAATTTTGTTTCCCAGTTTTGAAAATGTATGATTCTCCATTCAGTTAAATAAAGGCTTATGTTTCCTCCTAGCCCTATGTGTATTATAGCAAAGCACAAGCTCTTTAAAACGGTGGTCCACAAACCTGTAGCATGGACACAACCTGGGAGCTGTTAGATGCACAATCTCAGGCCCATCTTGGATGGCCTGACTCTGCAGGTGTCTGCATTTTAACAGGATCCCCAGGTGATTAATAAACATGATATGGTTTCAGATGCACATCTTCAGTTCATCTGACTTCCCTTCTTTGTGGTCCAAATATATCAACTCCAAATAAAATGACTTTATACTTACAGTATTAAACATAGGGTACAGTATGGAGTCTCATTTTTTTTGAGATGGAGTCTCATTCTGTTGCCCAGGCTGGAGTGCAGAGGCATGATCTTGGTTCACTGAAACCTCCACCTCCCAGGTTCACGCAACTCTCCTGCCTCAGTCTCCCCAGAAGATGGGACTACAGGCACAAGTCACCACGTCCAGCTAATTTTTGTATTTTTAGTAGAGACGGGTTTTGGTCATGTTGGCCAAGCTGGTCTCGAACTCCTGACCTCAGGTGATCCGCCTGCCTCAGAATCCCAAAGTACTGGGATTACAGGCATGCGCCACCATGCCTGGCTGGGTACAGTAAATATTATACGGTTTATGGTGCTTTGAATTTTTTCAGAGTCCTTTTACACACACATCTTCCCATTTGATAATTCATTTATCTGATCTAGCAATAATGTAGAATTGTATTATTTCCAATTTACAGATAACTCAGAGGCATTATGGAGTAAGAAAGCTGGTAAGGAATTGTAGAACAACTGATTCCTAATGCAGGAATCTGATGCTTCACACTGCATCCTCTCAGCATCCTGAGAGCTTCCTCAGAGCATAATACATGGAGGCTGCCGGGGATATAACTTCTAATGAAACAGCTGAAAAGTAAAATGAGTAAAGATAACAGACAGTTAATGGGAAAAGCTGAGCACTAACTGCCCCAGTACAAATTAACTATCTGATAAACGGTGAAAGAACAGGCTTACATGGATCCAAACTGAACTAGAAATAGGCTTCTGGGACAACAATCCGATCACAAACACTAAAGACTAAAGACTAACACAAAAGTTACGTGTAGTAGCTACTGCTTTCAAGTAGATGCAGGGTAACCCAGTGATTTTTTACTTTAAACAACAAAGACTTTACTCACAACATCATTGGAATCAACTGCATATTTCCCTGATTCATAAAGAAAACTCTTCCCTAGAAACCAGCATTAACACTGCAGACAGTGACAACACCTTGGGTTCTTGTCATGTCTTAATAAATAACGGCCGGGCGCGGTGGCTCACGCCTGTAATCCCAGCACTTTGGGAGGCCGAGGCGGGTGGATCATGAGGTCAGGAGATCGAGACCATCCTGGCTAACAAGGTGAAACCCCGTCTCTACTAAAAAAAAAAAAAAAAAAAAAAAAAAAATACAAAAAATTAGCCGGGCGCGGTGGCGGGCGCCTGTAGTCCCAGCTACTCGGGAGGCTGAGGCAGGAGAATGGCGTGAACCCAGGAAGTGGAGCTTGCAGTGAGCCGAGATTGCGCCACTGCAGTCCGCAGTCTGGCCTGGGCGACAGAGCGAGACTCCGTCTCAAAAAAAAAAAAATAAATAAATAAATAAATAACTTGTCTGTCTGAACGAGAAAAACCAAAGGAAATACCAGTATAGAGAACTATTCAGGCAAGTGTGCAAATTAAATCCTAATTAAACCATTTGAATATCAGAACAAATATAGCACAAAATTATAATGCCAATTAGCATTTTGTTGATCAGTCATTACCATAAAACAAAGAGCAAATATAACCATGTTGCTTTAATAAGGTCCTAATTAAAGAAAAATTACTTTAGCACAAAATGCAAAGAAACAGCAGATTCACACATAAACATTCCAGCAGAGACAAGTTAAAGAGATTGAGCTCACATGCAATTACTTAGTGCATGAAAAACCCGTAAATCCAACAATCCTCTGTGGCCATCAACAATCCTCTGTTAAAACATGTTCAAAAGGTGCACTCTTTTAAACACAGGGAAACAGGAATGTTCTTTTTTTCTTTCACCTAACCTCTAATGGAAAGAGTCCCCCAACTTTCCTTCAGGAAAAGAGAGATTTTCTTTTTCCCCTTCTCTTTCTCCCTCTGGGAACCTCACCCTTCAATGTAGATCACTCCAATGCCAAACTCTCCCCAAAGACCAACTAGACATTTCTAACTATATCCCCCCCTGAACATTATCCTGGCAACTGAAGCAACATATCCAAACACAACAATCATTTCTATTTTACTATCTCCCTATTGCTAATGTCCTAACCTTTTCCTAGTTATCCACACATTTAGACTTTTCTTCATTAGGATATAAAGCCAGTCAATTGTTTATCAATTTTACTGCTGAAATATCTCCCTTGCTATCTACTCTCACAGCTAATAGCTATATGTAAGCTTTTGTGAGGTCTTACCTTGGCTATGTTAATAGATTTGCTATCTGATTTTCACTGGTTCTCCAATTCATTTAATGTTGCTGCCCAGCAGCAAAGGGCCTACATGGTCTGGACCATCCTATCTTTGCTAGCTTCTATCTCTCTTCTTCTCCAAACACAATTTACGGTGCTCACTGATGACAGGTCTCCTAGTCTGCTACCTAACATGCCTTCTCTTTCCTGCCTTACATTTCTGTTTAGCCTAGTTTCTAAGAAACTAAAACCAACGTAGTTAAAAAACCTGTAATATACTCCCCAGATTCAGCTTTTTAAAAGGTTTTCATTTGTTGTAGGTTGAACGGTACCCATACTCCACAAAAAAAGATGTCTACATTCTAATCTCTAGAACTTGTGAACATATCTTAGATGGCAAAAGATGAGATTTAATTTTTTTTGTGCTTGCTTCGGCAGCACATATACTAAAATTGGAACGATACAGAGATTTAATTTAATTTTTTTTTTTTTTTAGAGTCAGGATCTTGCCCTGTCACCCAGGCAGGAGTGCAGTGGTGAAATCTCTTAAGTGAGTTCTCTTATCTCTAAGTTTCCACTTATTAGCTCACTGTAAATTTGAACTCCTTAGCTCAAGAAATCCTCTTGCCTCAGCCTCCTGAGTATCTGAGACCACAGGCACATGCCACTGCACTGAACCAAAAAAAATGTGGCTGAGTTCAAGGTCTTGTGAGGAAGAGCTTATGTATTATCCATGTGAGCCCTAAATGCAATCTCACATGTCCCTATATGAGTGAAGCTAGGGAGCATTTAACACACACAAAAGAGGAGAAGGCAATGTGACCATGAAGGCAGAAACTGGAGTGATGCAGCCAAAGAATGTCCGCAGCCAAGAGCAGGTAACAGGCCTCCCCTACGCCCTCCAGAAGGTGTGTGGCCTTACTGATACCCCTATTTCGACATTTTTATCTTCAGAAATTTAAGAAAATAAATTTCTGTTGTATTAAGCCACCACAGTTGTGCAATTTAATCCAGAACTCAAAGAAACTAATATACCATCTTTATAGCCTGGCTTGAATTCCATTTCCAATTGCACCAAAGGATGCCTTATTGTCTTGGGGTTGGTGAAGTTCCCTAATGGAATTATTTCAGCATCTTGTTTTCACACTTACCATATTAATACTGCCATATTAATGATAATACATACATATATATCACATAC